>NT_167245.2:3059722-3230568 GCF_000001405.40 Homo sapiens | reverse complement strand
CGAATGGGCCACCAGCTGGACCTCAGGGCCTCTGAGGAGTTGATGGAGGCCACAGCTCTTCGCATCTTTCAAGGGCACCTGTCAGGAGAGGGAGAGGGAGAGGGAGCGGGTCACAGAGCAAGAGACAGCTGACCAAAAAGGACAGAGACCAAGGGAGAAACGTGGAAGGAGAATGCCAGGGTGGGAAGACAGGAGGGGAGGAGGCCAGTGGGAAGATGATGACACTTACAAGACAGATGGGAACAGGGCAGGAGGCCCCCACAAGCAGCAGGAGGGCATGGGGTCTGGTTACCTGGAGACTGAGGAGTGCGAAGTCTCTTTCTGAGCTAAGGGTGAAGTCCACCTTTGGGGAGCAGGGGACATTATTACGAGATGGGTTTCTCAGGAACACTGATCCTTTCACTACCTGTCCTCGGGGCACATCCTGGAGCTGCACCCCCACCGATAGGGGGACCCCCAGATGAACCACAGAAGGAGAGAACAAGAGCAACCTGGGGAGAACAGACAGGATCAGCAGTCAGACTTCGCTCTGACACCTCCACCCCTGCTCTCCCTCACTCCTGAATCGGGTCCCGATGCCAGCCCTGCCCCAATCCAAGCACCCAGCATCCCGCCTCCAGGACCTGGGCTTCTGCAGAGATAAGGTGAAGAAGCTGGATGCCCAGATCAGCCCCCAGAGCAGCCTCATGGCTGGAGGATCCAAGAGAGGTTAGATCCGTCTGTCTGTCTGCTACCTTCTGGCCAAGCTAGGCCTCGGGGCAGAGTTGACTCTGGACCTTGCTCCTCCCCCAGCCCAGCTAAGCTGGGAAACCACGTGACAGCCAAGAAGTGCAACTGGCCTCAGGCCCAGAGTTGTGGGGGCACCCCGGACACCTGGGTGTCCATGGGAAACTCTGAATCTTGGCCCAGAAATAACCCTGTCCTTCCCCGTTAACTCCTCTCATTCCAGTGCCTGAGCACCTCCCCCTACCAGGTATATCTGTATCAGGGTATAGGTGCACACAAGCTCATGTATACCTGGGCGTACAAGGGCCCAACATGGCCCACGAGTACAGGATATTTAAAGGCCCTCACAAAACAATGACAGGCTTCTAAGACACTTGTCTCTTACTTTCATTCCAACACAAATTGAACTATACTAGGCTTTTGCTTTTTTAGGCCCTAACAGAAATTCCGTGGTTTAGGAGATTAGGTACACCCTCACCACTCCACAGGGAGAATGGCCTGAACGTCAGAGTGAACCCCTGACCCCTTTCCTCTCTGAATGAGGCAAAGCTCAGACTTCACCTCTACCCCTAAACAAGGCACCCAAACACACGTCACAGTAAATAAAGGACATCCAGAAAATATCACAGGCAGAGGTACTTTATTTGGCAATTTTAACATGACACGTAGAGAAAAGAACCCTGCCCTCCTTCACCAGCCTCCCCAGAAATCCCACCTTCCTATTTCAAGACAGAGTAATAACAGCACCATTTTACACGAAAGGGAACAGCCACAGCCTTGGCACCATTTCTGGTTCCACTTTCCATGGAAGGGCAGAGAAGCATTGCTCAAACCCCACCACTGGGTCAGAAACCAGGCAAACAGCAGCAGTCACATCTGACCTTTTGCACACACGAGAGCCCGACACTCATCCTGGCTCCCAAGCCTTCCCAAGGTGACCCTGTCTCAGCCACCATCATGCAGCTCTTCTAGTCCCCTCCCGGCCCACTCTGAGGAGCTGAGCAATGATGAGCAGAATCTTCATGTCTCTGGCAGGCGGAGGAGGGTTCCTGAAGTGGTAGAGATGCTGTGCAGGAGAAAGACAAGGCTGGAGCCAGACGCCTAGGCTCAAGCTGTGAGGAGAACTTAGAACTTGGGAAGGGGTGCTCCCGGGTTCCAGAGAAGAATGAGAGCCACTGGCCTTCACTAGGAAACTAAGCATGAGCTGGGAGGAAATCCCACTTTGGGTCATTGCTCCATAATCTGCCAGAGGCCAGGGAAAGACTCACCAGTCCACTAGCTGGGCCCCAATGAGGTCGTGCACATGGTAGGTGAGGCCAAGCCGCACCACGACAGGCGCCCGCCGGCCCAGGAGCTCTGATAGGAGCAGTTCCCGGTACTTTGCCTTCCGGACCATGCTAAGGACAGCCTGGCGCCCTAGAGGAGAAGTGGCACAGGAAAGGGGAAAGGTGAATAAGGCCTAGAGGCCTGAGGAGCCACCAAAAGGTGAGGGGCTGCAGGCTTGAGCTGCAGATGGGATACCTTTAACAAAGTACTTGATGAATCTCCCAGCTCCAGGCACAGCTAGCCACCAGCTCCCAGCATCTCGGACGGTGAGGACTCCAGCATTCACCAGATGCCTGAGGGCAGTGGGAAGCCAGCAGAGATGAGGGCTGGGCTCTGAGAACCATCTCTCCTCCTCATCCATTAATGTTTACACAAGTCTCCAGAAACACGGGCAACCATGCAAGAGAGACTGGATAACAAAATCCCAGCCTGGGGTGGTTCTGTGCTCGCACCAACTGCCTCTGTTGGTGCAGTTGCTTGTTCCAGGCCCCCTACCTGGACTGCCCTCCCTCCACTTTTTCTTTTCCTGCTACTATTACTGGTTCAGTTAAATAGCTTCTCTTCCCTGACCACATGTCCTGACACACATTCGGTCTTAGGACCGAGGAGAGGAATCAGAGTCTTCTGCGCTCCTGCCACTGCCTAGGCAGACTGCGCCATGGCTCCCACCACATCTCTCTGAGAGTGTGTCTGCCCATGTGAGATCAGTGCTATAGTTTTTCAAATGCTTTCACATATTCCATGGGTTACAAAGTAGGAGGCCTGAGCCAGATACAGCCTCTCAAAATTAGATTTTTATTTAGCTCCTGCCCAGTTGTTTTTTAGCTTTGGGTTTTTTTTGTTTTAATGTGAATGTTTAGGGGTATCCCAGCTCCTACCATTCTCTATCCTCTTAGTCCCAGTATGATTAACATCAAGCTTTTACACTTCCTGCCAGGCCCCTGTGTGCTTTTGATAAGCCACCAAGAACTGAATTCTATTTCAGGGCTCTTTCTAAGGCCCAGGTAAGATAGGCCTCCTCTCTTGTGGGGAGGAATACAAACTTGGGTCATTTTATTAAAAAGAAGAGTCAGCTTTTTGGCAGCTTTTCTGGCAGGTTCACCAAAAAAACAGGAGGACAGGCTGGATGGAACTGGAGGGAGGCAGGGAAGCACCAGATGCCTGACTTTGGTTGGTTCCACAAGTCTCACGTGATTTCTGAGTCCCTGAAGCCAAAGGTCTGTGTCATTTGGTCCTGCTGGAAACTAAGGTCCCCACAGGCTGGAAGTACTGAAGCTAGAAATTTCTGCACTGCCCCAGCATACGGTCGGCCATCACAGGCCTTGAGGACCTACAAGCAGAGATGAGAGACATGGTCCATCCCCACCCTCACTCTCTACCAACCTCCACCCCCAGGACAGCATTTCTCTTCCTGTCTTACCTCTTGCTCAGATCCTTCCACCTCTCATACCCTTCTTCTTCCTCCTCCTCTTCATCCTCCTCCCCCTCTTCCTCCCCCCCTCCTCCTCCCCCTCCTTCCTTCCTCCTCCTCCCCCTCCTCTCCCCCCCTCTTTACCCTCTCACTCCTCCCTCTTTCCCTCCTGTCTCTCTCCCTCATATTACTATTTACCAGGGCCCTGTGCCCTCTCCATGGGATGTGGGGGCAGGGAAATTCTTTCTTTTGTTTTTATTTCTGTTTCCCAACTTCCCTGTCTCCCCCAACCTGTGCCCTCCCCCCAGCACCCCTGACGCACACAGTCACATACTCTGGTCCTGTAGTCCTCAGTGAAGATAATTCCATGGGCATCCAAGTCGAAGCCCAGCTGGACGATTCTGATCTCCCCCTGCTCTTGAAGCTCCTTCTGTCTCCACAGAGAAGAGAGTGAAAAGAGGCGTATCAGGGTAAGATGCTCTGCTATACTCTGGGCGCTCTCAGGCAGGGAGATTTTGTTTGCCAATATGGGGGCATTTTCTCTTAGTAAAGGAAAAACTGTGTGAGAAAATAATCAAGCAAATGACCAAGCAGCCTTTTCCAACTAGCTACCCACATTCTCATCCACCTGCCTTATATATGGTCTATCAAAGAGTCAATATAATTTCTAAGACCAGGCACTAAGATAAAATAGTGATTAAGATGCAGGCTGTGGCTTCAAAACATTAACAGTCTAAATTCTGGGTAGGGTAAGGTGGGGAGGAGTATGGGATTCAATGTTTAAAACAAATAAAAATAAACCAGGACTTCTGTTTACGAGAATACAGCAAGAACTAATCCACCTGTTGAAAATTAACTAAAATCCTGGATAAAAATGTTATTTTAAAATTGTTTAAGACCAGGTACAGTGGCTCATGCCTGTAATTCAGCATTTTGGGAGGCTGAGGTAGCAGGATCAATTGAGGACAGGAGTTCGAGACCAGTCTGGGCAACACAGTGAGACCCCCCCACCCGCCACATCTCTACAAAAAATGTAAAAACAGCCAGGCGTGGGGGCAGACACCTATGGTCCTAGCTACTTGGGAGACTAAGGCAAGAGGATCACTTGACCCAGGAGTTTGAGGCTGCAGTAAGATATGATTGCAACTGGGCAACACAGTGAGACCCCATCTCTTAAAAAAAATTGTTTAGACACTAAAGAGCTCACAGGATAACAGGAATTACCACTAATATAACATCTAAGTAGGCCGGGCGAGATGGCTCAAGCCTGTAATCCCGGCACTTTGGGAGGCTGACGTGGGTGGATCACCTGAGGTCAGGAGTTCAATATCAGCCTGACCAATATGGTAAAACCCCGTCTCTACTAAAACTACAAAAATTAGCCGGGCGTGGTGATGTGTGCCTGTAGTCCCAGCTACTCAGGAGGCTGACACAGGAGAACTGCTTGAACCCAGAAAGTTGCTGTGAGCCGAGATCATGCCACTGCGCTCCAGCCTGGGTGACAGAGTGAGACTCTAACTCAAAAAATAAAAATAAAAATAACTGGGGCCGGGCACGGTGGCTCATGCCTGTAATCCCAGCACTTTGGGACGCTAAGGGTGGATCACTTGAGGTCAGAAGTTCAAGTTCAAGACCAGCCTGGCCAACATGATGAAACCCGGTCTCCATTAAAAATACAAAAATAGGCCAGATGCGGTGGCTCATGCCTGTAATCCCAGCACTTTGGCAGGCTGAGACGGGTGGATCACGAGGTCCGGAGATCAAGACCATCCTGGCTAACACGGTGAAACCCCATCTCTACTAAAAATACAAAAAAAAAAACAATTAGCCAGGCATAGTGGCGGGCACCTGTAGTCCCAGCTACTCGGGAGGCTGAGGCGGGAGAATGGGTGAACCCAGGAGGCAGAGCTTGCAGTAAGCCAAGATCATGCCACTGAACTCCAGCCTGGGTGACAGAGCGAGACTCCGTCTCAAAAAAAAAAAAAAAAAAAAAATTAGCTGGGCGTGGTGTCAGGTGCCTGTAATGCCAGCTACTTGGGAGGCTGAGGCAGGAGAATCACTTGAACTCAGGAGGCAGAGGTTGCAGTGAGCCAAGATCATACCACTGCACTCCAGCTTGGTGACAGGGTAAGACACTGTCTCAAAAAAAAAAAGTAATTGGAACATGGAGGGCATTTATTAATCTAGGCAAATCTGCCCAGAACATTTTCAAAAGTAACTGGGCGCATAAGGAAACAAAACTCAAAGAGAGAATAAAGACAAACCCCAAAAGACAAGTAATAGTGGAATTATCCTTTCCACGGTCTCCCTCTGATGCCGAGCCGAAGCTGGACTGTACTGCTGCCATCTCAGCTCACTGCAACCTCCCTGCCTGACTCTCCTGCCTCAGCCTGCCGAGTGCCTGCGATTGCAGGCGCGCGCCGCCACGCCTGACTGGTTTTCGTATTTTGTTAGTGGAGACGGGGTTTCGCTGTGTTGGCCGGGCTGGTCTCCAGCTCCTAACCGCGAGTGATCCGCCAGCCTCGGCCTCCGGAGGTGCCGCGATTGCAGACGGTGTCTGGTTCACTCAGTGCTCAATGGTGCCCAGGCTGGAGTGCAGTGGCGGGATCTCGGCTTGCTACAACCTCCACCTCCCAGCCGCCTGCCTTGGCCTCCCAAAGTGCCCAGAGTGCAGCCTCTGCCCGGCCGCCACCCCGTCTGGGAAGTGAGGGGCGTCTCTGCCTGGCCGCCCATCGTCTGGGATGTGAGGAGCCCCTCTGCCTGGCTGCCCAGTCTGGAAAGTGAGGAGTGTCTCTGCCCGGCCGCCATCCCATCTAGGAAGTGAGGAGCGTCTCTGCCCGGCCGCTCATCGTCTGAGATGTGGGGAGCGCCTTTGCCCCGCCGCCCCGTCTGGGATGTGAGGAGCGCCTCTGCCCGGCCGCGACCCCGTCTGGGAGGTGAGGAGGGTCTCTGCCCAGCCTCCCCGTCTGAGAAGGGAGGAGACCCTCCGCCCGGCAGCCGCCCCGTCTGAGAAGTGAGGAGCATCTCCGCCCGGCAGCCGCCCCCTCCAGGAGGGAGGTGGGGGGGTCAGCCCCCTGCCCGGCCAGCCACCCCGTCCGGGAGGTGAGGGGCGCCCCTGCCCAGCCACCCCTACTGGGAAGTGAGGAGCCCCTCTGCCCGGCCAGCCGCCCTGTCCGGGAGGGAGGTGGGGGGGTCAGCCCCCCACGCAGCCAGCCGCCCCGTCCGGGAGGGAGGTGGGGGGTCAGCCCCCCACCCGGCCAGCCGCCCCGTCTGGGAGGGAGGTGGTGGGGTCAGCCCCCCCCGCCCGGCCAGCCGCCTCGTCCGGGAGGTGAGGGGCGCCTCTGCCCGGCCGCCCCTACTGGGAAGTGAGGAGCCCCTCTGCCCGGCCAGCCGCCCCGTCCGGGAGGGAGGTGGGGGGGTCAGCCCCCCGCCCGGCCAGCCGCCCTGTCCGGGAGGTGAGGGGCGCCTCTGCCCGGCCGCCCCTGCTGGGAAGTGAGGAGCCCCTCTGCCCGGCCACCACCCCATCTGGGAGGTGTGCCCAACAGCTCATTGAGAACGGGCCACGATGACAATGGTGGTTTTGTGGACTAGAAAGCGGGAAAAGGTGGGGAAAAGATTGAGAAATCGGATGGTTGCCGTGTCTGTGTGGAAAGAGGTAGACATGGGAGACTTTTCAAAAAAAAAAAAAAATAGTGGAATTATCAAAAAGACAATTAAAAAAAAAAAAAACAGCACTTTGGGAGGCCGAGGCAGGCAGATCATCTGAGTCAGGAGTTTGAGACCAGCCTGGCCAACAGGGTGAAACCCCATCCCTATAAAAATACAAAATTAGGCCGGGTGCGGTGGATCATGCCTGTAATCCCAGCACTTTGGGAGACCGAGGAGGGCAGATCACGAGGTCAGGAGATCAAGACCATTATGGCCAACATGATGAAACCCCCATCTCTACTAAAAATACCAAAATTAGCTGGGCATGGTGGCGCGTGCCTGTAGTCTCAGCTAATCAGGACAGTGAGGCAGGAGAATTGCTTGAACCCAGGAGGCAGAGGTTGCAGTGAGTTGAGATCACACCACTGCACTCCAGCCTGGGCAACAGAGCGACACTCCACCTCAAAAAAAAAAAAAAAAAAGGGAAAACTAAGGCAACAATGACCACAGCAGTCACCTCCCAGGGACATTCTGATCAGAGACATTTTGATCAGAGAGGGATATATGTGGGATACTGGTCATATTCTATAGTTTGACCTAGGGAGTGGCTAGATAGGTATCTGCTTTATAAACATCATTTAAATTATATATGTTTATATTTTCATTCTGCAACTTTTAAAGGTTTTTAAAAACAAAAGCTAACACCAATACATTAAAATCAACAAATACTCCTTAAGGAGTGGTTCCATCTGGCATGCTTCCTCACGGGAGACCTAGTCAGGGAGACTAGCTCACCTCAAGTGAGTGCTAGACTGCCTTCCTTTTCTTTCCTCTTTTCTTGAAAGATCACTATTAACCTTCTACCTGCTAAATCCAATGGACAGATTTCAGTTCTGGGTTTTTTTGTTGTTGTTTTCATTTTTTTAGAGACAGGGTCTCCCTCTGTTACCCAGCCTGGAGTGCAGTCGTGCAATCATAGCTCACTGCAGCCTCAAATTCCTGGGCTCAAGCACTCCTTCTGCCTCAACTTCCCAAACAGCTAGAACAATAGGTGCACACCACCATGCCCAGCTAAGAATTTTTGTGTTTTAATTTATTTATTTAGTAGAGATGGGATCTCAGTTATTTAGTAAAGATGGGGTCTCACTTTGTTGCCCAGGCTGGTCTCAAACTTTTGGTTTCAAGCTATACTCCTGCCTCAGTCTCCCAAAGTGGTGGGAGTACAGGCATGAGCCACCACACTCAGCCTAGATTTCAGTTTATATTTTACTTTACCTCTTCCCTCTTCTTAGACCACTGTCTTGAATCACAGGTTCTAATACTGCCAACTACTTCACTTTCTCAAAAATCTCTTTACTTTCACAGTAGGCCTCTTCCTGGGTTACTTTTTTTTTTTTTTTTTTGAGACAAAGTCTAGCTCTATCACCCAGGGTGGGGTGCAGCGGTGCTATCTCAGCTCACTGCAACCTCCGCCTCCCCAGCTCAAGCAATCCTCCCACCTCAGCCTCCCCAGTAGCTCTATAGGCGCGTACCACCACGCCTGGCTAATTTTTGTATTTTTTGTAGAGATGGGGTTATGTCATGTTGCCCATGCTGGTATCAAACTCATGAGCTCAAGAGATCCACCCACCTCGGCCTCCCAAAGTGCTGGGATTACAGGTGTGAGCCACCGCGCCGGCCTCTGGGTTCCTCTTAACTCAGGCAAGTCCCTCTCTGCCTCTGTCACAGATTCCTCTTCTTCTGCTTTCCCTTTATGTCAGTGGATCTCAAATTTTAAGGCACACTTAAAAAGCACTTGAGGCAGTTCAAAAATGTAGAGTCCCAAATCCCGCCCCAAGAGAGCGTAATTCATTAACCTTGGATGAGTCCCAGGAACCTGTATTTTTTTTAACAAGCAGCCCACGTAATTTTGACACAGGCATAATAACTCAGCTCATATATTCAGTAACACTGCCTTAAATGATGGTGTTTCCCAGCATTGTGGATTTGACCCTATTAACTTCCACTCTAAACCTGGAGTCCTTAACCACGGACCTCGCAGGATTAGTAAAATATTTCCCCCCTAACTATACATACACCCTATGTATATGTGGCAAACGTGCATTTTTCTGGAGAGAGATAGCCATAGCTTTTATCACCTTCTAAAGATTACAAAAAGGTTAGAAATCACTCCTCTACCCACTCTTCCTACTGGATCTCACCACATCACAGAATTAACCACTTGCTATTCACACCTCCATGACTTGTAATTCTATTATCACTGGCCCAGAATTCTCTCCAACTCTCATATCCAACTGTCTAATACCTTTGTCTTTGGATGCTCCACATGCACCATCAACTCAACTTGTATAAAATTAAACACATTATCTGTAGTCCAACAACTAAATGTGCTCCTAATACCACCAGCCACGCAGTCATCTGGAAAGTCTGAGTTGTCCTGGACTCCTCCCTCTTCCTCACTCTCCTCTCCCTCCCTACTGCACTGACCTAATTTAGGCCTTCACCACTTCTCAGATGCAGTATCTTCTTAGCTGACCTCCCTGCCTCATCCACTATCTCCAATACACCATTCCCTCTCTCTATGATATTCTCTACCAGCCCATCGCCTCAGTGTAAGATGGAAACAACACTGATGTACAAGGCCTGTCATGATCTGACGTCTGACTGCACTCCCAGCGCTGTATGTTCGAACCATGCCCCATGACTCGGTTTCCCCAAAAGCCTCGTTCTTCTACCTCCATGATTTGAAATGCCCTGTACTACCTGCGGGACTTTTAACAGGGTCTCTGTGGCACCCCAGTGCCTGGCACAGTGCCCTCGCCTGAAAGGCCTAATGCTTGCTGAACGGCTGGCGGAGTGACTGAGTGACAGGGAATTCCAGGAGTTAGGAAAGGGGCTTCCGGCGGTCGCACCGACGCCCCTCACCAGCTGCCGGTCGGCCACGGTCCTGTCAGGCACAAGGCTGTACACCTGGCTCCTCAGCACGATGGGCGGCAGCGCGTCCTCAAACAGGCCTCGCGGGAACAGCTGCATGAGTTCTGAGACAGCCGCGCGCGCCGACCCTGGGCAGATAAATCGGCTCACGGACAGGGAACTGGGGCGGGGACGCGGTTCTAACAAAACTCTCGGCTACCGGAAGCGAGGCCCCACCCCCGGGGTTGCCATGGTTACCTGGCTCACCCCGAAGAGGATCCGACTCCACAGGCCCTCGCTTCCGCCGCCTCTTAACTCCAAAGGTCTCCGGGATCAGGTGATGCCTCTTCCAGCTCATATCCCGGGATTTTATGGTACCGGGGAAGGGGTAGGAATGGAGGGAAGAGAACCTGAAAATAGGGTCTTCCGGCGCAGAGCAGTGACGTACGGTCTCCCCGGGCGTCCCTCCTAGACCAGGTGATGACGAAAGGAGCGTCAACTTGTCGTCCCTCAGGCCCGTCAGTGCTGGGAGGGGCGGTGGCGACGCACATACCAGCATCACCTCCGCCAGGCCGGGCCCCACGCCGGCCGCGGATTGGCTCCCTCCAAGGGCACGCACGCCCGGGGACTCGTTGGCGGCGTGGAGGGGCGCCGGTGGCCACGTTGGTGTCAACCTCCTTCGTGAAGCTCACACCTCCCCCGCCCCGGGAGGGGTTTGCCCGCCACTGTCGCTGAATGATTGCATCATCGAAAGCAGAAAACCACTTTTGCATCCTTCGGCCTCTGGCGTGCCTGCCATGACGTCATAGCTCTGCGGAGGTGGAAGTTGGGGAGCTTTGAGGTAACTGGATTCTTGATCTGAGCGCAGACGTCCTTCCTAACCTCACTGCATTTGGAGGACCTGGAGGGAGGGTGGGTGAAGGGCAAGGAAAGAGGCAGGATGAGAGCTTGGCCGCGGTGGCGTCTGAGGGGCCTGAATGTTTCAAGGCCAGAGCCTGGCGATCAGGTGGCTCGCTTAGTCCTAAACCAGTCATCCTTCTCCAGGCCTCCTCTGTAGAATGGAAACTCTGTACCCCTGCTTGTCTTAGGACCTCATGGATCCCAGGGGGACCAAGAGAGGAGCTGAGAAGACAGAGGTAGCTGAGCCTCGGAACAAACTACCTCGTCCAGCACCTTCTCTGCCCACAGACCCTGCCCTCTACTCTGGGCCCTTTCCTTTCTACCGGCGCCCTTCGGAACTGGGCTGCTTCTCCCTGGATGCTCAACGCCAGTACCATGGAGATGCCCGAGCCCTGCGCTACTATAGCCCACCCCCCACTAACGGTCCAGGCCCCAACTTTGACCTCAGAGACGGATACCCGGATCGATACCAGCCCCGGGACGAGGAGGTCCAGGAAAGGCTGGACCACCTGCTGTGCTGGCTCCTGGAACACCGAGGCCGGTTGGAGGGGTGAGCAAAGCGTGGTAGGCAGTATATCTGGAGACCCGTACCTACCCTCTAAAATTAGGAGAGCCAAAGCCGGGGTGAGAATCAGTCCTTAGAAGAAACAAGACTATTCTTCGAGGGGAGCATCTCACTAATGCTTGTGTCAGACCTTCAGCCTGTAACTCCTGCCTCTCAGGGGTCCAGGCTGGCTGGCAGAGGCCATAGTGACGTGGCGGGGGCACCTGACAAAACTGCTGACGACACCGTATGAGCGGCAGGAGGGCTGGCAGCTGGCAGCCTCCCGGTTCCAGGGAACACTATACCTGAGTGAAGTGGAGACACCGAACGCTCGGGCCCAGAGGCTTGCTCGGCCACCGCTCCTCCGGGAGCTTATGTACATGGGATACAAATTTGAGCAGTACATGTGTGCAGGTGAGTTGCCCCTGCTTCATAGCCCCCTTCCCCTTCCCAGAGGTTGAGAGCCCCCCACGCCTGCTGCTGCTTCTCTCCTTGTGCAGACAAACCTGGAAGCTCCCCAGACCCCTCTGGGGAGGTTAACACCAACGTGGCCTTCTGCTCTGTGCTACGCAGCCGCCTGGGAAGCCACCCTCTGCTCTTCTCAGGGGAGGTAGACTGCACAGACCCCCAAGCCCCATCCACACAGCCCCCGACCTGCTATGTGGAGCTCAAGACCTCCAAGGAGATGCAAAGCCCTGGCCAATGGAGGAGTTTCTACAGGTTCAGGATCGGGGTGGGCAGGGCGAGAGCTTAGGCTTGAAGGCTGGGAAAGGGACTTGGGGAGGAGGGTGAAGGCAGAATGGAGGGTGCACGAGGGGTCCCACTGATCCCTTGCTTTTCCTGTCAGACACAAGCTCCTGAAATGGTGGGCTCAGTCATTCCTCCCAGGGGTCCCGAATGTTGTTGCTGGCTTCCGTAACCCAGACGGTTTTGTCTCTTCCCTCAAGACCTTTCCTACCATGAAGATGTTTGAATATGTCAGGGTAAGGGAACGATGTTGCAGCTCCCACCCGTATCCCCAAACACCAAGACCACAGGTCTAGCATCCAGGGCAACAGCCTGCCTTCTCTCCTCCCACCACCCCCACTGCCCATCTTCTGCCTCCTCCTCTGCCTGCTCCAGAATGACCGTGACGGCTGGAATCCCTCTGTGTGCATGAACTTCTGTGCCGCCTTCCTTAGCTTTGCCCAGAGCACGGTTGTCCAGGATGACCCCAGGTGAGGCATTCAGCTCTGTCCCTCCCCTCTGGATCCCAGGATCCAGCCTCTGGCCCTCAACTGATGCCTCCATCTGCCCCCCAGGCTCGTTCATCTCTTCTCTTGGGAGCCTGGCGGCCCAGTCACCGTGTCTGTACACCAAGATGCACCTTACGCCTTCCTGCCCATATGGTATGTGGAAGCTATGACTCAGGACCTCCCATCACCCCCCAAGACTCCCTCTCCCAAATAGTAATGCTTTAGAGGGAGGCAGTCATATCTCTGTGTGCAGATAATAAAAGCATATTTCTAAGAGGTTCTCTCGCTGTCTTCTTAGCTGAGTCATCCCTGTCCAGCAACTCAAGCACACAACAGTGCTTTGCTGTTTTATCATCATGTTTTTACATGGGGCATTCACTGGGTGTAGAGGCTGGCCGCAAATACGATGTCCCGCCGTAGCAAGGTAGCCGCTGTCTCCATCTTGGCACCCAGCACAGGCTCTCCTACCAGGCGGGCTGCCCCCCGCAGTGAGCGACACATCTCAGCCAGGCGCTGAATGCAGCGGACCACCAGGCCCTCAGGGGTCCCTGAGAGCCCTGCCAACTCGGAGAAGGGCTGTGGGGAAAGTAGGGTGAGGACTGGATGCACTCAGCCTGGGCAGGTTCTCCCCAGCCAGCCGTCTGCAAAATCCCAAACCTCAGGTACTCACCATGCCCCGGGCCCACTCATATACAACCTCAACCAGCCCAAAATTCAGCTCCCCCACAAATTCCTCCACCGTCTGGTTCAGGCCACAAGCCACCTGGACCTCACCAATCCGCTTGGCCACAGCCCGGACACGTTCTATTCCCTGCAGGAAAGAAGGAGAGGTTAAGGCCTGCCTTCCTGCTCCAGGACAGGGAAGGACCAGATCAAGAAGGCAGCCATTTTCCATCCTTGGGGCACTTACAGGGCTGGAGGGGGTCACCTGGGGGACTACCTGAAGGTGAAGGTCAGGAATGCCACAGCCCTGGCAGGGAGAAAGGGGTGGTGTCCCCTACCTGCTTGAGGGTGTTTGGGAGCTGATCCCCAGCGTCCCCAGGGCTCTGGCAGACCAGGCCAGAGAGCAAGGCAGCAATCTCCTCAGGCCGCAGGGTGCTCAGTGCATTGTCAAACATGAGCTCAGTGAGGAGCAACTCATGGCTGCTCATGGCACAAGCCACCCGCCCTGCCAGCTTCACAGTGCCCGCCTCGTCCACGTAACCCAGGGTTCGGAGCACCTGCAAGAAAAAGGGTGGGCATTGGACACACTGCTGTCCCCTAGCCCCCCTGCCCCAACCACTGCCCCACCCACCTCTACTCGCTGATGGTACTCAGGAAGCAGCAGCAATGACTGATCCGACAGTAGGAAGCGCAGCCGCTCCATCTCCTTCTGTATCTGCATTCGCTCCCGCAGCTTCAGGTACTGCAGAGAGCCACCCGTCAGCCTTCTCCTTGCCCCTTAGCAGGGGTGCACTGAGGACAAGGGCTGAGATGGGGGCGGTCAGTCTACAGGGGACCACAGAGGAAAAGCCCCTACTCCCAGCTTGGGAGTTACCACCCAGGGTCCTACCTGGGCAGGAAAACGGGGGCTGTGTACACACTGAGCCCCCTGGATCAGCTCCTCCAGCTTCCGGGCCCGGAGCCCACCCTCTACAACTGACATATCTTTGAGCTGCAGGTCATTGACAGGGTCGAGGGTGGGAGGTCCGGCTGGGTGGGCCTGAGCCAGACGCAGCAGTTCCTGGACAGCAGTGGTCACGGCTGCAAGGGGAGGATCCTTCCTGAAGAGGGAGCAGATCTTAAGATCTGGGGTAAGATCTTCTCTCCCACAGAAGCCTCCCTCAGGCTGTGGAAGCCCTCTTACTACAACCTCCACTTCACAGTCTCCCTTAGGCTGGGGGAGCCCCCTCACTACAACCCCACCACTTCATGGTCTCCCTCAGGCTGGAGGAAACTCCCAGACCACTGCCCCTCCCTGCCTCTACGTGCCCCTCTGGAGGAGAAGGGCCTCCCTAGCATCTCTGACTTGAATTTTGGCTGCTGCCTCTTGCTGAAGTCCTCCAAGATCTTCTCCCCATTCACCCGGAGCACCTTGGTGGTGATGGCAGCCATATCTCCTGGCTGGAGCTTGACCACGGTGTGGTCACAAGGCCCTGTGAAAAGGGGAGAGCAGGGCAGACATTGCCATGGACCCAGGCATCCTGCTTATACTGCTGGCAGAAAACAGACATCTGCCACACTCTCACCTTCAGGCAGGAACAGCTTGAATCCCACGAGGTCATCTGGATAGGGCACCTCTGCAGTGGCTGGCCCCCTGTCCTGTGGGTCCTGGGACAAGGGCTTATCACACAAGACCAGGGTTGTGAATACTCTGCTGGTGGAGTTCGAGGAGACCTGGGGGTGGTCAGAGAGGCCAGGAGAGGGGGGTGTGATGAGTAGACATCAAAGGCAGAGACCAGATACCCACCCTTGGGCAGGAATCAGGAAGCAACCATGCAGAGCTCACCAGTAGAGAGGGGCAACCAAGTCAAGCGATCAGAGCAGACTTCTTGGGGTGGTGGGAGGAAGGAGTGAGCATGATGTGGTGATGGGAAGGGAGAGGGTGAAAAGGAGGGCAAGAGGGGAAAATGAGGGCCCTATGATGACGCAACCTGCCCTGGCCAAGTGGGGAAAATGGAGAGAGGGCTTGCTCCCTCCCACCCTCTGGAGTCCAAATTCCCATCACCCTCACCTGTAGGATCACTCCCAATGCGTTGTGATGCTCCTGATTCTTCACAACCACCACCCTTCCTGCTGAGAGAGACTTCAGCCCGTTCACAGACTCCATGATGCGTCGCTGAAGAGCAAAGGACAGATGGGAGGAGGCATCACAGGGACAGACACTTGGACTAAGTTTAGTAGCACCTAGAGTAACACGATCTTCTCTTCCCTTCTCCTATCACCTCCTCAGCACTCACACTTGCTCACCTGGATCATGTGCTGGGTCTCTGTCAGTTCCTCCCCCCAGCTGTAATATTCAGGCAGGTCGACCAGTTGGCCAGTCATGTCAGGCTCCTCCAAAGCTCCCAGCCTCTTGGTCAGTTCAGCCAGGGCCTGTTCATGGGCCTTGGGTGGGAGCAGGGGAAGCTGTGAAAGGGGAGTCTCCAGGCCCAATCTGTCACACTCCCCACCCTCAACACACTGGCCTCTGGATGCCTACCTATTCCCAGCCTGTCTTTGGCCAACCTCCTGCTCCACACACTGGTTACCCCAGGCTCCTTACCTTGCTGTCTTTGCGGGAGGGAAACTCAGAGAAGCTCCTCTTCATCATGTCCTCCACCCTGAGGGCATCCACTCGCAGCAAGTTGAGGATCATAGTGTACGTGAGGCGGAACTGGGACTGCAGCTGGGACGGCTTCCCCTGGAGTCAGGTCACAGAAGTCACTGAGATCAGGGTGGGACCTACTGAACCCCAGCCAGTCTTCTGGACTGGGCCTACTCCCGTCAGATCCGGTCCTAGCTCTGCAACCATGGGGCCTTGGACAAACCACTTGCTCACCTCTTCTGTAACATAAGGGAGCAAACTGAAATAAATGGACTCAAAGGCCCCATCTAGCTCCATATTCACATGGGAGAAAACTGGAAGAGATGGGCTCCAATCTCATCCTTGGATTCACTCACTCCTACCTCAGCTTCTCCCAGGCAAAACAAAAAAGTCGGAGGAAGTTGGGCGCTGTGGCCCACACCTATAATCCCAGTACTTTGGGAAGCTGAGGCAGACAGACTGCTTGAGCCCAGAAGTTCAAGACCAACCTGTGCAACATAGCAAAACCTCATCTCTACAAAGCATAAAAAAAAAAAAAAAATTAGCCAGGCCTGTGTGGCATGTGCCTGGAATCCCACCTACTTGGGAGGCTGAGGTGGGAGGATCCCTTGAGCCTGGAAGGCAGAGGTTGCGGTGACCCGAGATTGTGCCACTGCACTCCAGCCTAGGTAACAGAGCAAGACCCTGTCTCCAAAAAAAAAAGGAAGAAGAAAAAGAAGAGAGGAGAATCGAAGACAGAATCCAGCAAGGTCCTGGAGCTGGGGCCCTGCCGAGCATGCTGGCCCGCTCACCATCATCATGCGGTGCAGGTCTGCCATCTCGGGCACTCGGCCCTTGCAGAGCAGGATAACGGTGCCTGTGGGGTCCAGGCCCCTCCGCCCTGCCCGGCCTGCCATCTGCACATACTCCCCAGGGAGCAGGTCCCGGAAGGTGGAGCCATCGTGTTTGCGCATGGAGTCAAACACTACTGTACGAGCAGGCATGTTTACTCCCATGGCAAAGGTCTCTGTGGCAAACAAGACCTGGGACAGAGGAGAACAGAAAGGATCAGCAAAGGCTCTACATACACACACCCCCAGCCCTGGCCAAGCCCACCTTACTTTGTAGGCATAAGGCACCATCCCAGTTGTTACTTATGGGATCTCACTGAACTCTCCAGGCAAATCTATAGGGCAGGTATTATTGTTTTCCTCATTTTACTTATGTAGCTACTTATTTCTATTTCTTAACTTTTACCTTCATATCCCATTCCCATCCCTGACTGCAATCATTCCAATGTATCCAACAAATATCTTTTTATATAAATATGATCTTATAGAACATGTCTTCTTTTGTGAGCTTGTAGTTTATAATTCATATAAAAAGTGGTTATATATCTGATTTTTTTTTGCTTCTTTTTCTCCACCTAGTGTTTCAACATCTGTCCATGTTCCTGTGGCCACATCTAACCCACTGCTTCCAACTGCTGCAGAACACTCTATGGGTGCATCCCCCACACTAACCTTCCCTCTCTCCCAGTGAAGGGCACCCTGGTACTACCAACACCATGCCACCACAAACAAAGGATGGGTGTACATGTTCTCTCACAGACCAGGGTGAGAATTTCTTTGTGATATATACCCAGGAATGAAATATAAGCTCAGAGTATGATATAGTTTTTGTTTGTTTCTTTGTTTGTTTTTGTTTTGAGATGGAGTCTCCCTCTGTTGCCCAGGCTGGAGTGCAGCGGTGCTATCTTGGCTCACTGCAATCTCTGCCTCCTGGGTTCAAGCAATTCTCCTGCCTCAGCCTCCCAAGTAGCTGGGACTACAGGCACCTGCCACCATGCCCAGCTAATTTTTGTATTTTTAGTAGAGACAGGGTTTCACCATGTTGGCCAGGATGGTCTCGATCTCTTGACCTTGTGATCCACCCACCTCAGCCTCCCAAAGTGCTGGGATTACAGGTGTGAGCCACCATGCCCGGCCAATATAGTTATTTTGTCTAAATAGTGCCAGCGTGCATTCCAAACTGGCTAGGCATCCCGTAAAGGATTCCCAGAACCCTACAACCTCCTATATCTCTGGCAACACTCGGCATGAACTAGTTTCCTAAATTTTACCAGTCTAATAGCTGTAAAGTCGTATCTTGTGAGTACTTCAATTTGTATATTTCTGATTACTAATAACTTTTCGAATGCTTGCTAGCTTCCTGGGTTTCTTTTCTGAGACCTACGTATTCATATCTTATGCATCCCCATTTTAAGATGGGAAACCTAAAGTTCAGGAAGGTTAAATAATTGGTCCAGGATGATACTGTGAATACATGGTGTACCTGGGATTCAAACCCAGGTAGTCTGAATCCAGAGCCCAGATTCTTAACCACAGCACTGGCCTGCCTAAACCTCTGCCCCTCTGCCCTCTGGGCAGCCCCTAAGTGGGCAACAAGCACCCTGAGGAGTCCCTTTCCACCACCACATGCACCTTGACCAGGCCACGGCTGAAGAGCATCTCCACGATCTCCTTGAGGATGGGCAGGATGCCGCTATGGTGCACACCCAGGCCGCGATTCAGGAGCTCTGACATGTGCAGGACCTTTGGTGGGAGGAGGCCCATGGTCAGGGATGGAGTCTCGGAACACCCTATCCCCACCAGTCTGCCAAATGTGTGCATGCACGCACACAGACGCACACAGACGCACCTGGGGCAGCTGGCGGTCAGAGCCACGGAGGCGAGCAAGGCAGCGCTGCAGGAAGAGGTGGATCTCGCTCTTCTCCGAACTGGTGGTGAGGTCAAGGGAGGTGAGGCCTGAGGCCTGCTCATCACAGCGGCCCCGGGAGAAGGTGAACACCACCACGGGCAACTGGGCACGTGTGCGGAGGGAGGCCAGGAGGGACAGGTACACTCCGCGGTCCTGGAGAAGGAAGGGGAAGGGGAAGGAGCAGAGGTTGAGTTCCTGAACCAATGAGAGGTGAGCTAGTGTTAACTGGGGCAGTGCTCAAAGCTCAAGTCAAAACCCCTGGGGGACAAGGGGAAAAAAAAGATAGGAGGAAAAACAGGTGCTGGCAGGTACAAAACCCTCCCAGTTCTCACCTGTGCAGGGCCCCCCTGATGTGTGGGCTGCTTGGCCCCAAAGGTCTGGGCGTGTTTGCTCATTCTCTCCTTCTTGGCCTCCACAGCTGCATAGTACCTGGGGCACAGGGAGGGGTAGCCACAATGTCCAGCTGGGGGCCCAGCCCTAACTCTTTCCCCCATCTCGAGGCTTACCCTTTTGTATGGAAGGCTCCTCGGGAGTCCAGCAACAAAAAGAGCTCCCCCTGGGTCTTGGAGCTGTTCCCTGTGAAAAGATAGTGCTCCAGGGGCACGGGGCGGGTTACAGTGCTAATCACATAGATCTGACGACGCTTCAGCCGCCTGAAGAAAGGAGAGGGAAGCAGGTCAGGGGTGGGAACGTGGGAAGGAACCCGCATCCCCACCCCCTTCCC
Source organism: Homo sapiens (assembly GCF_000001405.40). Classification (NCBI taxonomy): domain Eukaryota; kingdom Metazoa; phylum Chordata; class Mammalia; order Primates; family Hominidae; genus Homo; species Homo sapiens. Next base: position 3,211,116 of record NT_167245.2, on the reverse strand, counting down.
TACCCCTCCAACTTTACCCAGTCTTTTCTGAGACCCAGAATGGAAGGCTATCCCCCAACATCTCATCCCATTTCAACATGCAAAGTAATCTGGACCCAAAGGGGATCCCACAGCCACCAGGTGGGACATGTTCCCCAGCATCACCCCTAAGGCCTGACCGCTCTCCTTGCTGTGGTAGACTTAGTCCCCCACCCGAATCAAGGAGTACTGTAGCCCCCTTCACCCAGGCAACCCGGGACACACGTCTCACCCAATCCAGTCAGCAAACTCAAGGGCGTTGGGGACGGTGGCACTCAGAAGGATGATAGAAACGTGGTCAGGTAGCATGATAAGCACCTCCTCCCACACGACCCCACGCTGGGCACAGAGAGGGAAGGGAGGTCACATGAGGGCAGGGGCCGCCCTTCTGCCCATAAAGAGGCACAGGATTCCATATGGGGGTAAAGAAAGCAGTAAGGGGCCCTGAGTGTGTGGAATAAGGGAGACGCTCAACTGGTCCCAAAGGAGAGGACTGCCGGGTTCTGGGGAGCCCATGGCCCTTACCTCGACATCGTTGATATAGTGAACCTCATCAAAGATGACCCACTCCAGGTCCCGAATAACATCTGAGCCACTGTACAGCATGGAGCTGGGGAGAAGAGGCCAAGGATTGACTCCCCAGTGGCTCGTCTCCACCCACTCCTCAGACAGCACACTCTCCACAACGGCCACATCTTCCCAGCCAAAACTCCCCTGTATTGAGTGTCCATCTCTCACCGAAGGATCTCTGTGGTCATGATGAGGCAGGAGGCCTCCGGATGCAGCTGTACATCCCCGGTGAGCAGCCCCACATCCCCGAATGTGTTTCGGAAGTCCCGGAACTTCTGGTTGCTCAGGGCCTTGATGGGCGAAGTGTAGATGGTGCTGGGAAGAGAGCATGAAGTTAGCCAGTCCCTCCGCAGACTCATGGCCCGCACTTCCTCTCCCACATGGAGCCCTCGTGGAAGCATGCCCCAGAAGCTCAGGTGCTCCTCTTCTTCACCCAAACTGCCCTTACATTCTCCTGCATGATATAACCCCAGAAAAATTCTGTCCCCAACCCCTTCCTAAACTAACCCAGGTCATTCTTCTAAACTTTCTCCCCACCATGTCTTTTCATTTCTCTCTGGGCTCTTGTCTCAGTCTTAGCCCTGAACCTCTCACTTAAAGGATGAGCTAGAGAGGTGGGGGAAGAGATGAGATTTTCAAAGGATGCAGGAGAAAATGGGGCTGGCTGGTGAAGGGGGAGGTTGGCAAAGGAACTCATACCGTGTCATGTGTTTCTGGGCCAGAGCAATGGCATATTCAGCCACAACTGTTTTTCCTGCAGATGTGTGAGCTGCGACAAAGACAGAGTCATGCCGTTCCAAGTGCAGGATGGCCTGTTTCTGAAACACATCTGGCTCAAATGCCCACTATGGGAGAGAGAAATAGACAGGAGCTGAAGAAAGGAGCGGGGCCTTGCTGCCTCCTGCTCATGGAGCACGCAGGGCGGGCGGATGAAGGCCGGAGCCAGCCGAGGCTGGGACTGAGTACCAAGACTGGCCTGGGATGGATCTGACCTCTGGCCAATAGAGGAGACAAGGGGTCGGCTGGGAGTGTGACCCAGAAAGAGGTAGAGGAGCGTGTGAAGATGGGGCCAAAGTACCTGGAAGGCTGGCTGGGGAATGAGGCGATAGAAATCACCAACAGGGGAGGTGGCGTCCACAGGGATGGCCCACTGCTCCTGAGATGGAGGCTCTGGGGCCTCTGGGGTGGATACAGCTGTGGACGCTTCCTGGAAGAGTCAGGGGTAGCAGTGATAAAGATACAACCAGAGGGCTCTCAATTAGCACTCCTCCCAAAAGATGTCCCTTTCTTCCCCTCAGACCCATCCTAGCCAGCCCACATCCTGGTGGCAAGGCTCTTTCTTGCCTCCACTACACAGAACCACCAACCTTCAACACTAGGTCTTCCAAGCTGCTTGCTCGGGCCAGGGGAGCACTGCAGGGAGAGGCTGAAACAGTGTCCCCTCTGGGACCTCCTGGCTGTCCCACTGCCTCATTCTCATCCTCGTCACCCCCACCCAAATCCAGAGGCTCCAACAGACAGCTAAGGCTTAGTAGTCCAGGAGCTGGAGTTGGACAATCTGAGGAGCAAGCCAACAAGGTCAACCTTGTCATGTCCATCTCTGTTCCTTAGGAGAAGGACATGACTTCTCCTACACCCCACTCAAAAACTAAAACTAACCTTTTGGTGCAAAGTCCATGCCTTTCTTGAAACCAGGTGGAATAGTAAGAAGATCTGTAGGATAGGGACATGGAATCAGGTCACTGCACACTGGTGAACAAATTGTGTACATTATATAAACCTAAAAGATACCATTTACAGGACAGATGCTGTAGATAGGGATGTTTGCTATGACACTTTCCCAACAGATGACAGTAAAGGTTGTTGTAGAAATTTCCCAGCAGATGACAGTAAAGGTTGTTATGGACAGAATATCTTTTTCTAATTTTCTCAAAAACATGGGAGGGCTAGCAGTAGCCCAGTGATAGCCTGGGCTCTTCCTCCTCAAGGCTCAGACTCAGAGCCCCACCTTACCTTTCTCAAAGTCTATCTCCTCCTCAGCCTCCTCCCGTGTGTTCAGATCTGTTATGGTGGGTTCATCCATCCCCCCTGGGAAGAGACAGGACAGACAGGGATTCATGGGATGAGGGTAATACGAGATAGGTGGGGAACCCTTCCCTGGAGATTAAAGACACCCTCTTCTACCATCCCATCTCCACAAGAGTCACCTGGCCAGAAGGGATACTGAGTTGGATTTCCCCATAAGGACTGGGAGGCTGGCCCTGGAGGCCGGCGAAGAGACAAGGAGGTTGTAGCCGAGAGATTTGTGTTCTCCAGCAAGACCTAAGGCAAGAGATCAGAGCCCCAATGAGGCTGAGCTTGTCTCTGACCACCTCCCCTTCTCCCCAACTGTTTCTCATGACCCCTGACCTCCTACCTCTTTGTAACCCAGTATCTGGCCTGTGGTTGGGTGTCTTTGGGCCTGTAGGTCGGATGGGACTGGGGCTCCCAGGACAGCCAAAAGAGACCAGGGATCCGTCTTCCTCTGCCATTTTCTGGAGAGAAAAATAGTAACTTTTGGGTCTTCTTTCTTCCTCTGTCCCAGCTTCCTTCAGGAACCCATCACCCTAGTCTAAGCCCCTCCAGACTCCTCACCGGGCTGAGTGCTCCACACCATGCAGAGGCAGCCAGGCTGGGGATGACAGAAACAACTGTTCTGCTTCTTGCTGCAGATCTGGGGCACAAGGAGGGAGGCCATGGGGAAGCTGAAACAAGGGCAAGATGAGAGGCATTAGGTAAGGAAAGAGGATAAAATGCAGACAAAAGAGATGATGGGACTTGTGTTCAGATCAGAAATGGCAGATGTGTCAAACAGACTAGGACAATCAGGCTTGGCCAAAAACTACCTGCTACTGAATTACCTGGGGCAGATTTTGGATTTCAGAAACATGGAGGCTGGACCTAGGAATGTGCATTTTTAAAAAGCTCCCTGGCTAATCATGAAGCACACTGAAATTGGAGACTCACTGATTTTAGAAAAAGGGGTCCCAGACCTAAGGATGAAAGGTTGGAGGCTCAAAGCCTATCATCTCAGTCACCAAGTGCCCTGGTGCTTGGATACAGAAGGGAGCTCCACGGAGAAATGCCACATTTGAAAGAGCAGCTCTCAAAGCAAAAATATCCCCAGCCCTTTCTGCTCTGTCCTCACACGTACTGCAGGTACACTGGGCTGTAATCTGTCCAGCACCCCTTCAGGCTGGGATGGACAGGAGTACAGGCACAGATGAACAAGGTTAAGCTAGATCCTACTGTGAGGAGGGTGAAGGAGGTTTGGACTCAATGCGGGTCAAAGGTTAGGGTCAAAAGTCACTCACGCTACTCTCTGGAGCTCCAGGCAAGTTCAGCAGCTCCCAGTGCCCCGTGCATCCGAGCTCCACGGCCCGAAGGGGTAGGTCCAGGGGATCTGGAGGGGGTAGCACTACGGGGAAAGGTCAAAAGTCAGGGGTCAAAGTTCATTCCATATCGGCTACTCCGTTCCATTTCCCTCCCCTCCCCCTCACCAAGTCGCTCTGTCTCCATCATCCTGGAGCCACAGCAGCTGCCTGGCAGCCCGGAAGTGCGGCAAGTAGTCGCTGCGAAGTAAGCCCCGCCCCGGAACGGGCGGAAGTAGAGGCAACTTCCGGTACAGCCCCGCCGAGAGCGTGAACTATCGCTGCGGAGGGGCAGACCTGGACCGGTGGAAGGCCGGGCGGAAGTGCGCGCCTGGGGCCGCCTTGGTTACCGCGTTTTCCGCTCCTCGCTACGTCATCGTTGTGAGCCCGCTATCAGCGGCCAGCGCGGGCGCGGCCGGAGACCGTGGGGCCCCCGGTTGCCGCCCCCTCGGGTAAGGCCCTCTGCTTCTCACTCTTCGGCCCTTTTTCTCATAGCCGTTTCTCTGTTCTTCCTCTTTGCGTTGCTCTGCGGGCGCTACGCTGGCTCCACCGCCTTCTCTGCCGTTCAAACCCCGCGGTTGTCCTTACCCTAGCGAGGGTAGGGGGGTCGGGTGCCATCGTCTTTCCGACGGAGTGGATATTTGTCCCTCCTTGAACCACATGGTACCTAAAGGTGCTGGTGTCTGTGATCCCTGGAGACAGGAGGGAATGCTGGATGATCCCGACCAGCGGGAGCTTGGACAGCAGCCTGGTTTAAGCAAGGGGTAGGGAAAGCCAAAGACAAGAGTAGGCAGACCTGAAGGGGTGGGGTTGGGTACAGTGTGGACGGCGTGTGAACCCCGGGTGGTAACAGTGGAGAAAGATGTCTTGGGCCCTGCCCCTGAACTAGGAGCCACCATGTTGGTGATACCCCCCGGACTGAGCGAGGAAGAGGAGGCTCTGCAGAAGAAATTCAACAAGCTCAAGAAAAAGGTGAGGGACTGTGTGTGGACATGGCCTAACCTTTCACAGACTCTGCACTCTGAGAAGATATGGGGTGAGTGTGAGCGAATGGGGAAGTTTTTCTGGCCCATACCTAGAGACATATCACCTCACAGTGTAGCTTCGAGAGGTGGGCTTTCCCAAGCCTTGGTGTGGACCTTCTGTCTTTTCTATGCAATTTGCCATGGATTGTCTTCCTTTCCCATGGCTTTTAGTACCGCTTAAGAGCTGATGATCCCCAAGTTTGTTTTTTCCAGTTCTATCCAGTGTTATACTGAAAAACTTCAGATACTCAGTGTTGAAGCTATCATCTTTCTATTCTTGATCTTCCAAATAAGATTGACTACACCAATTCTGCCACATGTTTGGACTCAAAACTCTGACTTCCCCACTATTTGCATAGTCAAACCTTTGCCAAGTCTTATTGTTTCTTCTTTTGAAGTAATTTTTCCTGTTTATTCTTCACTGTGCATTCCCCCGAGCAGGGCTTTATTGACATTCATGTGGGCCATTGTAATGGTCTCTCAACAAATTTCTCAGTCTTTTTTTTTGAACAGACTTCTTCACTCCTGTTCAAATGATCCATTGAAAACACAAAATTCTGCTCCCTCTGTTTCTCAAAAACCATAAATGGCTTCACATTGTCTATAAAAAAGCCTCAAAACCTTAGTTTGGCAGCCTTGTCTAGTAAAGTAGAACTATTCACTACTTCCAAAAGATGCATTCCCAAAGCCTTCTTATCTCTGCATCTTTGCCACCCTGTTTTCTTTTTCTAAAATACCCTTCTCCTCTCTGTGTTGTGCAGAGATACGGGAGAGGGCCTAGTTTAATAGCCATTAAACATCAGAAAATCTTACTAGCTTTCAGCTATGAATAATCTGCACCTCTTATAATTGTATTGCTAACTCAATGTATTTTATTTCTCAGACTGTAAGCTTCTTGAGGGTAGGAACAATGCATTAGCCTCCTGGATATCCCTGTTACGAAGTCATGGCTGGGCCTCATTCAATATGCAGGAAATAGATGGATGAAGCTTCCAGGAAAGGCACATAAACTTATACTTACTTGCAGCTTATATCCTAGGATTCTAGTCCATGATTGAGTTATTTGTCTTCAACTTCAAAAATGTAACACTCTGGAAAACCTCTGGGTTCCGTGGTTTGGTTAGATTAGGAATTTCCAGCATCATACATGATCTAGGGGACCAGAGGCAAGAGGCAGAGCACATCAGTGTACCACTCTGAGGGCATCAAGAAAGACGGTCCCTGGAGTGATGTGCCCAGGGGCCTTAGGAGAGGAACCGGCTAGGGGCTGGCCCTCACTTACCTCTCTCTTCTCACCCTTGTTCCCAGAAAAAGGCATTGCTGGCTCTGAAGAAGCAAAGTAGCAGCAGCACAACCAGCCAAGGTGGTGTCAAACGCTGTGAGTGACAGGGGAAATGGGGATGGACTGGAAGTGGGCAGCATGGAGCTGACCTTCATCATGGCTTGGCCAACATAATGCCTCTTCCCCTTGTCTCTCCAGCACTATCAGAGCAGCCTGTCATGGACACAGCCACAGCAACAGAGCAGGCAAAGCAGCTGGTGAAGTCAGGAGCCATCAGTGCCATCAAGGCTGAGACCAAGAACTCAGGCTTCAAGCGTTCTCGAACCCTTGAGGGGAAGTTAAAGGTGAGCACAAGCAGAAAGATTGTTTAAAGGGCATCCCTCCAAGTTGGAATGTAGATGGGTTTGGGGAAAAATATGCATACTCAAGCACTGGCAAATTGCTGTACCATTCTGAGTTTCACCTCTCATGTATAAAATGAAAAAACTAGACGACTCCTGAATTCTCCATTTTACAAATTCTGTGGTTCTAATCCACCTTGGATTGGAGCTCTTGGAATATGTTGCCCTAAGGGATGGAAAGGGCTGAAAATGTTATCAGGTTCAAGAGAGGTTCAAATAAACTGAATACATAATATATCGAGTCACTTATAAAAAATACCAGCTGGGCGTGGTGGCTCATGCCTGTAATCCCAGCACTTTGGGAGGCTGAGGTGGGCAGATCACTTGAGATTAGGAGTTTAAGACCAACCTGGCCAACATGGTAAAACCCCGTCTCTACTAAAAATACAAAAATCAGCAGGGTGTGAGGCCGGGCGCGGTGGCTCACACCTGTAATCCCAGCACTTTGGGAGGCCGAGGCAGGCGGATCACGAGGTCAGGAGATCGAGACCATCCTGGCTAACAAGGTGAAACCCCATCTCTACTAAAAATACAAAAATTAGCCGGGCGTGGTGGCGGGCGCCTGTAGTCCCAGCTACTTGGGAGGCTGAGGCAGGAGAATTGCTTGAACCCAGGAGGCGGAGCTTGCAGTGAGTCGAGATTGTGCCACTGCACTCCAGCCTGGGTGACAGCGAGACTCCGTCTCAAAAAAAAAAAAAATTAGCAGAATGTGGTGGTGCACACTTATAGTCCCAGTTACTGAGGAGGCTGAGGCCAGAGAATCACTTGAACCCAGGAGGCAGAGGTTGCAGTGAGTGGAGATCACACCACTGCACTCCAGCCTGGACGACAGAGCAAGATTCTGTCTCAAAAACAAAACAAGCCACAATGGCAGGTGCGGCAATGGCTCATTCCTGGTTAATTTCAGCACTTTAGGAGGCCGAGGTAGGAGGATTGCTTGAGCCCAGGAGTTTGAGACCAGCCCTGGCAACATAGTGAAACCCTATCTCTACAAAAAAAAAAAAAAATACAGAAATTAGCCAAGCATGGTAGAGCACATCTCTAGTCCCAGCTACTAGGGAGGCTGAGGTAGGAGGATTGCTTGAGCATGGGAGGTCAAGGCTGCAGCAAGCTACGATTGCTCTATTGCACTCCAGCCTGGACAACAGAGCAGGACCGTGTCTCAAAAAAAAAAAAAAAAAATAAGTAAAACCACGTCAAATAAGAAATGTATGTAGAATTAAAAGGGAAGAAAAGATCAGAGGAAACCTAGAAGAGGGTGAGGGAAGAGGAACACCTCTGGTCCATGGTTGGGCAACCTCCTGCTCCACACTGAGGTAGGTCTCTCACCACTCCAGGACCCCGAGAAGGGACCAGTCCCCACTTTCCAGCCGTTCCAGAGGAGCATATCTGCTGATGATGACCTGCAAGAGGTAAAGGCTCCTAATTTCTGTCCCTGAGGGGTTGGGGATGGAGGAATATGAGAGACAAATATATTTTGGACCACATGTCAGCAACTGGAAATCATCTTAACTGTTCTTGGTCTCTTTTACAGTCATCCAGACGTCCCCAGAGGAAATCTCTGTATGAGAGGTTAGAGAGTAGAGATAAGGCTGGGCCCATTTGGTGGAGTTGATTGCCTGAGTCCTTGGGAGGTTTGGGCTGTAGGAGCTGGGCTATAGAGGGAATATTGAGTCTCCACAGGGTCTGAGGGGAGAAGGTAAAACCCCCCTTTGATCTTCAGTCTGCATCTCCCCAGCTTTGTGTCTTCTAGTGATCGACTTCGAGAACTAGGACCAGATGGAGAAGAGGCAGAGGGCCCAGGGGCTGGTGATGGTCCCCCTCGAAGCTTTGACTGGGGCTATGAAGAACGCAGTGGTGCCCACTCCTCAGCCTCCCCTCCCCGAAGCCGCAGCCGGGACCGCAGCCATGAGAGGAACCGGGACAGAGACCGAGATCGGGAGCGGGATCGAGACCGGGATCGAGACAGAGACAGAGAGCGGGACAGGGATCGGGATCGGGATCGAGATCGAGACCGGGAACGGGACAGGGATCGGGAGCGGGATCGAGACCGAGACCGAGAGGGTCCTTTCCGCAGTGAGTGATTTTGGCTGGAGGTCAAGGTGACCTTAACTGAGGTTTATGTGGGTCCTACTAAGTGAAATGTGGCATGGGCTATGTCTTGTGACTATGATTTGTGCTCCCAAAGGGTCGGATTCATTCCCTGAACGGCGAGCCCCTAGGAAAGGGAATACTCTCTATGTATATGGAGAAGACATGACACCCACCCTTCTCCGTGGGGCCTTCTCTCCTTTTGGAAACATCATTGACCTCTCCATGGACCCACCCAGAAAGTAAGGATGACAACAGGGCATGATGAGAAGTCCTGGGAGAATCCTGGGGTGTGAGACCTGAGGGAAGAAGCTGCCCTCCCTGCAGCCGCCTATTATCACTGGGTTTGGTTGGGTCCAGAAGAGCCCCTTGGCTCTCCACTGACCGTGTTTTCTCTTATCCCAGCTGTGCCTTCGTCACCTATGAAAAGATGGAGTCAGCAGATCAGGCCGTTGCTGAGGTTGGAACTTCCCAAATCTGTTCTTCCCATCGCTTCTGCTGTTCTCATGTGTTCTCCTCAAAATACTAGATGCCAGGAAGAAGTTGGTTCCTCTTGATAAAGAAAGCCTCTCCCTATTCACACAGAAAAACTCACATTCTCAGATTCCTTATTCAGTCTCCTCCTAGGATAGCAACTCCTGGAATAACTTCTTTGGTTTATCTGTAATGTTTTCCTCCCCATCCTCTGCCTCCCCTCTTCTGCTTCAGCTCAACGGGACCCAGGTGGAGTCTGTACAGCTCAAAGTCAACATAGCCCGAAAACAGCCCATGCTGGATGCCGCTACTGGCAAGTCTGTCTGGGGCTCCCTCGGTAAGAATGGGATTCTTCCTTTCCCATCCTCTCCCCCACAGGCCATTCCTTTTGGTTCCCCCACACATCCTTGGGTTTCCTAGAGATGATCGAGGTCAGAGTGTGTGCGGAGGCTATGGGAATGGGAAGGAAAATTTCAGATCCTCTGTCAGTTAGAGGTAAAGAAAGGAGAGAAAAGGATTGAAAACAGCTTCCAAAGCAGTGACTGGAACAGGGAAGAAAGTGGGAGCTGGAGTGAGATTGGTGAGGAAGATGAGTGTCTCATGGGGCTTGTTCATTTTGAGATGGAGTAGAGTGAGTTTCATAAGTATTCGAAATCAGGGATCTGGAACTCAGGTGTGAGGTAAGGAAGGAAAACATAGATTAAGTCATCCACATCACAGGGTGGCTGCCAAACAATAGGATCATCAGGGAGACTCTGATTTCAGAGAAAAAAAAACGACCCAGGACTCAGTTTGAGGAGTACTCTGGGACTATGTTAGGAAACAGGACTGTTCACCTCACACCCCACATGTCCCCAGCTGTCCTGACATGTTAGGCTAACGTTGAGCCTAACGTTAGCAAAGGAGACAGGAGGAGGGGTCGGAGGGCTGGGAGCAGCACCGCAGGGGCCTGGGCCACTGAAGCAAAAGAACACACACTTTGAGAAAGAGGGAGTAGCCAGCAGTGTTGAGGCACAGAGATCACAGGATGGGAGTGGGTGAGAGAGATTCTCTGTAGCTCAAGGGTGGTGGGGATGGAACCATTGGATGGGGTGAAGAGAGTAACATGTCTGGTGGAGGGAGGAAAGAGGAAGGGGAAGAAACAGCTAGAGGCTTGAGAGAGAATGGTGAGGGCCAAAGCTACACCCTGAATGAGTTCTGGTGGAGCTAGTAGCATTTCTTAGTGTGAATAATCCATTTTCCCTGAAAGTAGATTTTCCTGGGAAAGGAGTGAGCAGAAAGAAGGGCTCAGCTACAGTGGCCCTTCAGGCAAAAGAAAGGAACTAGAATTGACCAGCATGTCAAAAAAGGGCTACAGAGGTTTTCTAGTTTTTAGCTTCTGACATACTGACTGTAAGTAGTGGGTTAATATCATTCACGTGTCTCAACAATGACATTTGGGATTTTTCTAAGAACAAAACATTCATCAAAATGTCCACTTATACTTTTCTTGGCCATGGGTTGGCACAAAGGAGCTAAGGAAGACAGGCCATCCTGGCCACCAGAGGGCAGCGTGGAAACTGGGCTTCCAGGGGCCAGTGGCCAGGAGTGAGGTGGTCAGGAGTCAGCCTCAGGGTCTGTTCTATGATCTCCTTTAGACCTTAACTGTTCCTCTCCTCCCTCCCTAGCTGTCCAGAACAGCCCTAAGGGTTGCCACCGGGACAAGAGGACCCAGATTGTCTACAGTGATGACGTCTACAAGGAAAACCTTGTGGATGGCTTCTAGGGAACAGAGCTGGATTCCTTGTGCCTCATATGCCCCAATGCTGGTCTCAGTAAAACACTGAGGTGGAAGCTTACACATCTCCCTCAGCCTCTGGTTTTTCAGCACTTGGGATTGGGGTTAAACCTTTAAAAACGGCTGTCAGGTTTGATCTCAGTGTAACAACATGGCCAGTGCCTGTTCCCCACTCCCTTGCCCCAAAAGGATCTGGAACACAGGTGTTGTCGCAGCTGTTTTAATTCAATCCCACGCCCCTGTCCAGCAGGAAACCCCTTATAGAAAACCCAAATCCTCATCTTGGAGTTTCTCCTTCAGCCAGGGCAGCACTTGAAAGAGGTTGATGTGAAAGTCTCGGGCGTGAGCAGGTACCTGCTTTTGCCGCTTCTGGTTTTTGCAGACATCCACTACTCCCCAGCTGATTACACCAACCTGCAGAGGCAGTGGGGTGCCATGGATCATTCAGTAGAATTCCTAATCCTGGAAGCATGGCTGTTCCTGCTTGCGTCTTAGCTGACCTAAAGGAATCAGACTAGGGACCCAGCTCAGCCTCGTTCTTGACACACGCAGGCAAGACATGCGGTCCTAAGGTGAGGCAGGCTCTGCCTACCTCGAATTACTAGCCACATGCATTGAGCTTTCCTGCTTTGGGGCCCATGCTGACCACTTGGCATCTCCCCAGATAGGAAAGGGAGGACTCACTTGAATGAAACGACTTCTCTTGTGAACTATCAAGGGGCCGCCAGAATCACCTGCAAGGAGAGGAGAAGCTGTAGAGAAAAGGACTGTTGGGCCTTGGGCACTTGTAGCACAACCAAAGAGCATTCTCTCACCTCTGCAAGTATTGGGGTCAGCATAGGGACTCACTCCTCCAGTACAAAGGAACCGAGGGGTGACCACCTCTGAGATGTCCTTGACTTTGTCATAGCCTGGGGCATATTGAGCATCTCTCTCACAGCTGCCTTTCTGTAGGGGAGGTGGGAAGCATGGAGAAGTAATGAACAGAAGTGGCTTAGGAAGGATTGGGGCCTAGAGTGCCTCCTTAGGATGCCCGTTTCTCACCTTATCCCCATTCTTGATGTAGACCTCCTTCCGAGTCAGCTTTTTCTCCTCCTCAGACACAAACAGAGCTTTGATATCCTGTGCAGGGAGCAGCTCTTCCTCTGGACGAATAGACTGCGTCACTTCAGCTGCTCCCACCACTGTCATCTCCCCATTGCCTTTGTCACTCAGTAGATGTCCCCTAAGCCCTTCTAGAGCTAGGTTCTGGGCCAGGCATCATCTCTTCCTATTGCACCTCCCTCTCATGCCCCACTTGTCTCTTGGGATCTCATCCTTATCCTCTTGCCAAGTATGTCTTACTTTGTTGCTGGCAAGTGGTAGTTGGAGGAAGCCTCAAAGCTCGAGTTGTTCCCTCGGTGCAGGGGAGACAAATGGGCCTATAAAGGACAAGGAGAACAGCAAACCAGGCCTGCTCCTCACCCCAGTCCTCCAGCCTTTCCCAGCCTTTCCTCAGGGATCTGGACGCTCTCACCTGATAGTCTGGCCATATTTCAGCTTATTCTTGAGCTTGATCAGGGCAACGTCATAGTCATAAAATTCAGGAATTCCTGCTTCTTTTTTCCCATTAATGTTGTAGTTGGGGTGAAATAGGACTACTTCTATCTCCAGGTCCCGCTTCTCCCCTCCTGAAGTAGGAGAGTAGGTACCACCTCTTTGTGGGCAGCTTCCTGCCTCTGGCCCCGTGTCATTCCTAACTTCACGTCTTCCCCCATCCCTGACTGGTCTGGGGTGCAAGGAATGGGGCTGCATTGAGGATGGGTGGAGTGTAGGATCTGTAGAAAGTGGGAGGTGTTGCCTGGAGAGCATAGGTGCAGCCCAGGACCTTCAGTTGCATCCTTACCTACGCTGACCTTGATTGAGTGTTCCTTGTCATCCACAGTGAAACAATGTGCTGCTGTCAGCACAAAGTACTCAGACACCACAGCCCCCATACAGCTCTCGTGTCCCTTTGAAGGGCGCTGGGGACACAACAGTAGAGAGGGAAAGCTCAACTTTCACAAACCACCATCTCTTATGGCCATTTTTTCCTTCCCCTACTCCCATTTCACCTTGACCTCACCTCCCCCAAGTCCCCACTACTGGGATTCTGTGCTTACAATGACTGAGATCTTGGCCTGCCATGGTTGCTTGTGGTAATCGGTACCCTTCCTGTGTTCCCAAACCATGCCACAGAGACTCAGAGACTGGCTTTCATCTGGCAGAGAAGGAGAATGTGCTGAAAACTCGGAACACTTCATTCCCAAATGGCAGCAGCCTTTTGGGTAGGAGTCTATGGGGAGCAAAGGCCCAAAAGGAGAAAGGGAAAGACCACGGGTATTTGTTTCCTCGTGTTAGGAGAAAACTGCTATGGTGGACTGAAAAGGGAAAGAACTTGGGATCAAGCTGTCAGAGGCCTGGCTGTTTTCAAGCCCACCCTTGTTGCTAACTTGCTGTCCCTTGACCTCCTTTGGCTTCTGTTTCCACGTGTCAAATGTAGGACTATAGAAAGATCTCTGAAGTGCTCAGAGCTCTGTGATTCTAAGGTTAAGTGAACAGTGCCAGGAAACAAGAATAGTGACACTGAGGTAGAGAAGGAGGAATGAAGAAGGCTTTCCAGGCAACTAGAGCTTCAGGTGTAGAGGAAGAATGAATTACTTCAGGGGAACCTGAGGAGAGTTGTGTTCTTTATTCCCTTGTATCTCCCTACCGATCATTTGGTAGAAAACATCTTCCAGGTTTTCCATATCCTTGACTTTGAACACATGTTGCTCATTGTCTTTCTTGGAAGCCAAAGCATTGATGTTCACTTGGTTCACCAAAGGCCCGACCCCAAACACATAGACATCTGAGGGATAAAAAGGAAGGATGAGGGTCCAAGCCCTGAGGAAGTGGGGTGCTGGGTCCTAGGCAGGTTACTCACCCAGATAATCCTCCCTTGGGTTTTTGCGATCCTTGCCAATGTATAGCAAGTCCCGGATCTCATCAATGACAGTAATTGGGTCCCCGCCCATGTTGTGCAATCCTGCAGAAGAGACAGGACCATGAGGGTAGGAGATAAGGAAGATAAACTGGCTAAAGGCAGGGATACACATGGCAGGGTGAGCAAGTTGAGGAAGGGTTAGAGATAGTTGATCACAGGGCTTAGGAAGAATTCCTTATGAAGGGTCACAGGAGAGATGAACAGCCAGCTATGAGTCACATTCAGGGCCCCAACCATGGGTATAGTGTTACAAGTGGACTTAAGGGCCACATGCTGGTCTGAGAAGGTGGGGAGGCTGGGACAGGAGAGAGGTCCCTTCTGACCATCAGTCATGAGGATGATGACATGGCGGGTGCGGTTCCAGCCTTCAGGAGGGACGTCATCTGGCCAGCTCATCATGCTGTACACTGCCTGGAGGGCCTTCTTGGTGTTAGTCCCTGACTTCAACTTGTGGTCTGTGGAGAGGGAAGAGACCATCACCTCACCTGGTCTTCCAAGCCATCTTTTAACCCCAGAGACCAATCTGCAACTGAAATCCCACATCTTTCAACTTTTTAAGTTAATCATCATTACACGGACTTCCCTTTGACCACAAAGTGGCCCTTCCAGCCCCCAACAGGTTCCCACTAACCTCCATTGCCCAACGATCCTGCTGTTCAACCTTTGACTACAAAGTGGTCCTCCCTGTCGCCCTCAAGGTAGTCTCATGACCCCCTCCACCCTGAACCTCCTGACCCCAAAGTGAACCTCCCACCATTCCCTAACCTCTGACCTTCATAATTGATTTCATTGAGCTGCTTCGTGACCCAGTCTGCATTACTGCTGTCTGCTTCAGACACTTTGACCCAAATTTTGGGGTATGTGGCATATGTCACTAGACCATATCTTGGCTTCACACCATAACTTGCCACCTGTGGGTGAGGAGAACAAGGCGCCATGGCATTGAAAATAGAATACTGTGATTGGGAGATTTCAGCGACTTTGCTGGGACAGGGAGGCTCTCAGTAAGAGGCTCAAGGGCTGAGGTTCATGGAGGAATTACCAGTCAAGAAACTGCTTCAAGTAAAAGGGAAGGAGGACAGAATAGGACCTGGAGATTTTCCTGGGGCCCTGTTGTTCAGAGGGGCTGGAATGATCAGGGAGCTAGTCCTGGAAGATCAGCGAGATTCCATTCCCCCGAGTTCAGGGATAGGAGGATTCCACCTTCTCAATTAAGTTGACTAGACACTTTTTGGCTCCTGTGAAGTTGCTGGCCCCAATGCTGTCTGATCCATCTAGCACCAGGTAGATGTTCATGGAGCCTGAAGGGTCCAGGACGATCTTCCGCTTCTGTTGTTCCCCTGGGTGCCAGGAGAGTGGCTCAGGCTCCAGCATTAACAGTTCTGTCCCTTCTCCATTTTCCCCCAGTTCCCTGCCCTGCCTCCCTTCTCTGTCTTCAAACCTGGGCCGTGCCCATCCTCAGCATCGACTCCTTCTATGGTCTCTGTCAGGGAAGACAGGAAAGCTTCGGCCACCTCTTGAGGGGTGTCGTACATGAAGGAGTCTGGGAGAGTCAGAAATGAGGTCAAATGTCTGGGAGTGTCAGGGATACAGTGACCAAAGAGACGGGGGATCATGGGTTTCCAGGGTATAAAAGGCTCAGAAGTGAGATAGTTGTACAGGGAGGTTTAAACAAAGTGAGGAAAGAGCAGGGTTGAGGTGGGGAGAGAAGACAGTAGGATGGAAGACCAGGATCTGACCTGGGGGTACAGGTCAAAGGTCACCTTGGCAGGAAGGCTCCGTCCCGCTCCAAGAGCCACCTTCCTGACACGTTCGCCGCTGGGAGCCACGCAGGGTAAGCCCCCGGCTGCAGTGGTAGGTGACGCTGTCTTCAAGGCGGTACTGGCTGCCCACCTTCCTTGTGCCAATGGGGATGCCCGGGTTGGAGCAGTACCCCGCTGCAGAGGTATGAGACATCGAGGTAAGCACTGAAGCCTGAGGCCCCGTGAGCAAGGTAGAGAGCAAGAGTTACAGTGTCCGGAGCCGAGTGCCCACTCCTCGGGCTGGGCGCCGTCAGGGAGACAGCAATGTAGGGGGAGGGGATGCTTCTCACCTCCGTTGTCACAGATCGCTGTCTGCCCACTCCACCGGCCATTCACTTGGCAGGTGCGATTGGCAGAGCCCCGGAGAGTGTAACCGTCATAGCAGTGGAAAGAGATCTCATCACTCACATTGTAGTAGGGAGACCGGGGCCAGTATTCCCCGTTCTCGAAGTCGTGTGGTCTTGGACAGTGGATTGCTTTGAGAAGGGGGGACAAGTAGAAGTCATCAAGAGGGAAAGGCTGCCTTAGGTGTATCCCTCCTGGTCTCGGAGACCATGTCACTGAGAAACAGCGCATTCCCAGTCCCGCAGAAGCAGCATCTTACCTACTCCTCAACCCATATGGATTTCCACTGCTTCTCCCTCCCCATTTCTGAGTGTTCTCTTGACTTCCAGGGCTGCCTGGAAGCCCAGGGTAAATGCTTAGTAAGGGTTAACTCCGCTTTTTCTTGCCCCCTTTCCGCCTGCCACCCTAAAACTGCTCCTACTCCCGGTCAGCCCACCTTGTCACCCTGCCTAGTCTCATCCTAGTCCTGACCTTGCTGCCGCCTGCCCTGTTTCTGCCTTAGGCCACTGCCCACACTCATTGCCCTCAAACCTCTGCACTCTGCCTTCCTGACAGTCTTTTGGTCTTGAGTCTTCAGGGTGCTCCAGGACCCCGTAGATCTGCAGGTACGTGTCTGCACAGGGTACGGGTAGAAGCCAGAAGGACACACGTACTCCAGTGCCTGGCCCTCTTGGAGAAGTCGGAAGGAGCCGCCTTTGATCTCTACCCCCTCCAGAGAGCAGGATCCCTGGGGCCGGGCCAAAGACCATGGAGTGGTGGTCACACCTGAAGAGAAAGGCTGATGAAGCCTGGCCCCAAAAGGCCAAGGAGGGATGCTGGAGACAGCAGGAAGGGAAGGTTACCCTCGCTTACCTCCAGACAAGAGGCCCAAGATAAAGGGCATCAGGCAGAGTTGGGGGCTGAGATTGCTCCCCATGGCGTTGGAAGGCAGGAGAGAAGCTGGGCCTGGGGCAGGATGGTGTGTCCTGGCTTGCTTTGCTTGTCTGCTTGGCTCAGTGTCCAAGCTGAAACTCCAGACCTAGACCTGGTCACATTCCCTTCCCCTGCTCCCCACCAGCCCCCAGCCTTTTATACAATCTGTGTTCTGGCACCTGCGGCTCGCCCCGCCTGTCCTACCCACATCACTTTCCCGGAACATCCAAGCGGGAGGGCCCCGCTGAGCTGCCAGTCAAGGAAACAGAAACTGCAGAAGTCCCACCCTTTGCTGCCAAAGGTCCAGGACTCTCCCCTTCAGTACCTCCTCTCCGGCCTTAGCTCCTCCCCAGTAAGCCCAAACCACCCACTTAGGGACCAGAAATAAGGATCCAGCTCACTCCCCTGTTGATTGTGTGTTATGGTGCAGAGTCCAGCCACTGTTTGTCCAGTGGGGTCTCTGACCTGCCTTCCTGTAGCTCTTGGAGTCATTCTGGCCTCCCCCTCCCCCAAGGCCAGCCCTACCTGGCCTCCAGATAGAGGCACTGAGAGATGTGGAAACCATTGATTTTTATTAATTTCATAACTGGGAAATTCCATGTGAAAGTGAAACAAGCATGAGTCAAGTCAACCAGGGAAGGAATCT
Organism: Homo sapiens; assembly: GCF_000001405.40. Taxonomy (NCBI): domain Eukaryota; kingdom Metazoa; phylum Chordata; class Mammalia; order Primates; family Hominidae; genus Homo; species Homo sapiens. Next base: position 3,193,359 of record NT_167245.2, on the reverse strand, counting down.
GGGGACAGGCCAAGGAGCGGGAGGTGGGGCAGCGAGGCAGTCCTGCTGGTAGGAGCCCTGAGGATTTCCCAGCTTGTGTGCGCTGCCTCTGGCATCCTAGAGACCCGGATTTACTCAGCTAGGAGAGAGGATGGATCACAGGGTCTAAGGGTGGCCATTCAGAGGTAGAAGATGGAGGGGCGGCAGATTCTGGCAGGGCAGCAGAGGGCTCAGTGGCCATGGCTAGAGGGGTAAAAAATTCAGGACATCCCCCAGGTGCTGCCTCAGCCAGGGCTGCATGCGGAAGAGATTGATGTGAAAGTCTCGTGGCGGCGGGACCTTGCTACGAGGGGCCCTTTTGCGGGAGTTTTTGTCAGCAGAGCCAAGGCAGGGGTTGTAAAGACCCCAGCTCACCAGACCCACCTGGAGAAAAGGAGAGAACTGGCTGGGAGGCTGCCACAGCCCCAACTGTAAGCCCCAACCTCCCTAGATCCCTCAAAGGCCTCCCTCATCCCCCCAACAAGGCTGAGATCCTGTAACCCCTGGGTCCTGCAAGCTTCTACCTTCTCACCTGAAAAAACCTGAATCTCCGCTCAAGGAAAACTGCTCCCCCAGATTCTCCTGCCAGCAAAGGGTGACAGGAGACAGTGTCATCTAGGGCAGTGGACTGGTGTTCTGGCATGCATGCTGGCCACAGAGACACAGGTGGCCTTCCCCTTGGGAATCCAGGCATGGTGAGGGACTCACCCTTGCAGGGACTCTCATCCTCCTGGGTCCCACTGCATAGGAACTGGTCTGTCACCACCTCCCTGACATCTGTCAAGTTGGGGAACATGGTTTTTTCTTGGGAGACAACCTCGGCACAGCTTGTCCACTGCAGCAGGGGTGGAACCAGAGAGAAGGGTAGAATAAGCAGACCCGGGTGGGTGCAGTGGCTCACGCCTGTAATCTCAGCACTTTGGGAGGTTGAGGCAGGCAGATCACTTGAGGTCAGGAGTTCAAGACCATCCTGGCCAACATGGCGAAATCCCGTCTCTACTAAAAATACAAAAATTAGCTGGTGTGGTGGTGGGCACCTGTAATCTCAGCTACTCGGGAGGCTGAAGTAGGAGAATCGCTTGAACCCAGGAGGCAGAAGTTGCAGTGAGCTGAGGTCGTGCCACTGCACTCCAGCCTGGGAGACAGAGCAAGACTCCATCTCAATAACAACAAAAAAAGAATAAGCAGACCCAGGGACACCTAGCAGGTTTGTGAGGCTTGGGAGGAGGGGTGACCCGCGTCAGAGAGAGAAAGCAGCCAGACCTGGAGAAGGAAGAGAGACATTCTGGGAGCTGTCACAGGGGGATCCCAGCATCCCCAACCTGAGACCCTCACCTCCACTCCCATCTTAAGGTTAATGTTCAGTTTGCTCCCATTCAAGGCGACAAAATGAGCAGGAACACTCTGTTTGTTCAGCAGTTCATTCTCTATAGTCAAGAGAAGGGGATGTTGGTGCTGGTCCTTTTACCCAGAATCCAGGTTCCTGGCTTGGGGACTGCAGCCTAGTCCTTGTTATCACCCCCAAACCCCGGCCCCAGCTCTCAAGCACCATAAGTCCCAGCACTCACCATGGTCCCTACAGGTGCTGCCTTGAGGTCTCCGCAGAGCCAGATTGGCCTCCATCGTGCAGGGAAGGCAGATGGGCCTGGGGAGAAGAGCAAGGGTCACACCAGCCTGTCCCCAGTATCTCTTCCAGGGATCTCCAGAGCACTCTTCCCTGCAGGGCACCCTCCCATCCCAGACTCCAGGCACCTGGCATGGGTGGACATCTTTACTTTCTGGGCCAGCTTCAGCAGAGCTATGTCATCACCATAGAACTCCAGGATTCCCTGGTTCTTTTTGGCAAAGACATCAAACCCTGGGGAGATCACCGCCTTCTCAATAAGGAATTCTTTGCCCCACTGGGATTTGGGGTCTCCTGGAAATGATACACTAGATTAGGCTAGACCAGGGCTCCTGCAGGGGCCAGAGGCTGGGTGAGGTGGTAGGATCTGTGGCTTCAGGATCAGGAGGCTGGTGCATCCCCTGCCTTACCCACATTGACCCTCCACAGGGAGTGGTCGTTGCCATCGCGGAAGCAATGAGCTGCTGTCAGGACCCATTGGTCGGAGATGAGGGCCCCCCGGCAGGTCTCTTGGCTCTTGGGCTGCAGGGGAACAGGTGATTTTCAGAGATTGCAGTATGTCTGGCCCATGGCCGCTTTTACCTCTGGAATCCAAGCCCTGCCCCTCCTTCCTGGTACCTTAATAGTGACATGCCAGGGTGTCCTCTCCTGGTCAGAGGCGTTTGCTGACATGTTCCCCACCCCGCAGATGGTGTCTGTGAGCTTGGAGACATCTGTGGGTGTGAGGATCAGATGGGGAAGGAGGCAAGTGAGGGGCACTGTGTCCAGGTTCCCAACACGGGCCTCTGGCGGGCTCCTCACCATCCTCCCCACACCAAGGAGGGCAAAGCTCACTCACCCAGCATATGTTCAAAGACCTGGTGCAGAGCCTTTGTGTCCTGCAGAATGAAGGCATGCCTCTCACCATCCTTCTTGGACCCTAGCTCATTCAGTTCTCTCCAGTCCACATCCAGCTTGCCCACCCCGATGGCATAGATGTCTGGTGGGGAAGAGGGAAATCACCAGACTCCTGTGGCTTTGGGGCTACCCCATGAGACAGGAGGCTGTCATCTGAAACTCACTGTGTCCAATCAAGACCTACATGAGCTGGACCCCTGCGTCCTCCCCACTGCTACCTGTCTGCCTTCATTTCCTGCCACTCCCTGCCCTTCACTCTCCTGCAGCACACAGCCTCTTTGAAGTTCCTCAAATCCATAGGCATGGTCACACCTCAGGCCCTTTGCCCAGCTGTGCCTCTGCCTAGTTCACTCCTCCCCCCCAGACTTCCACATGGCTCACTTTCGTACCTTTTTAAGTCTTGGCTCAAATGTCACCTTCTCAGTGAGGCCTTCCCTGGTCTTCCTGTCTAAAACTGCAATGCCCCAGACAAACTTTCATCCCCACTTTGGGAGGCAAGGTGGGAGGATCCCTTGAAGCCAGAAGTTTGAGACCAGCCTGGGCAACATGGCAACACCCCTTAGCTTGTGTCACCTACCACCTGCTGGGTTCTATGGTTTTCTTATCCTGTTTATTCCCTGTAATGGTGGAATTGTGTCCCCCAGAAAGATGTGTTCGAGTCCTAATCCCCAGTATCTGTGACTTTATTTGGAAAAAGGGTCTTTGCAGATGTAATCAAGTTAAGATTAAGTCATACTAGATTAGGGTGAGCTCTAATCCAATGACTGAGGTCCTTATAAGAAGAGGTAAGCCAGAGCCAGGCGTGGTGGCTCACACCTGTAATCACCAGGAGGCGGTGGTTGTGGTGAGCCAAGATCGCGCCATTGCACTCCAGCCTGGGCAACAAGAGCAAAACCCCGTCTCAAAAAAAAAAAAAAGAAGAGGTGAGCCGGGCACGGTGGCTCACACCTGTAATCCCAGCACTCTGGGAGGCTGAGGCGGGCAGATCACGAGGTCAGGAATTCAAGACCAGCCTGACCAACATGGTGAAACCCTGTCTCTACTAAAAATACAAAAATTAGCCAGACATGCTGGCACACACCTGTAATCCCAGCTACTCAGGAGGCTGAGGCAGGAGAATCGCTTGAACCGGGAGGCGGATGTTGCAGTGAGCCGAGATTGCACCACTGCACTCCAGCCTGGGCAACAGAGCAAGACTCCATCTCAAAAAAAAAAAAAAAAAAAAAAAGTGAACTGGCTGGGCATGGTGGTGACTCATGCCTGTAATCCCGGCAGTTTTTTTGAGGCGAAGGCAGGCAGATCGCCTTGAGGCCAGGAGTTTAAGACCAGCCTAGCCAACATGGCGAGACCATGTCTCTACTAAAAATACAAAAATTTGCCGGGCATGGTGGCACATGCCTGTAATCCCAGCTTCTTGGGAGACTGAGGCACGAGAATCACCTGAACCCAGGAGGCAGAGGTTACAGTGAGCCGGGATCCCGCCACTGCACTGCAGCCTGGGCTTCTGGGTGACAGAGCGAGACTCTGTCTCAAACAAATGAACAGAAAAAGAAGAAAGGAATTTGGACACAAAGACACAGGTAGTGGGTCTCCTATCTATATAAGAGAACAGCATGTAATGACACAGAGGCACACACAGAAAAGAAGGCGAGTTGAAGACAGAGGCAGAGAATGGGTTTATGCTGCCGCAAGCCAAGGTTGGAGCTGCCGGCAGCCGGAAAAGGCAGGAAAGAATTCTTCCCAAGAGCCTTCTGAGGAAGCACGGCCCTGCCAACACCTTGATTTCAGACTTCTAACCTCCAGAACTGTAAGAAAAAGAAATTCTGTGTTCTAAGCCACCCAGGTTTGTGGTAGTTTGGTAAGTACTTTTAAATGACTGAATGAATAGAAAGAACTCAGAACACAACATGGAAACTAAACCTCAGATCTGGTCTTCCTCTGTAAAAGGTAGCATCTGGGAGAAGGGCCTAAAGCCACGTTTTCCCACTGGAGGCCCTGGACCCACACAACAGGCCGCGCCTGTCCTCCGACTGTGGTGCCAGTCAGAACTGCCCTCAGACAGACCACAGAGTCTACTCCTCTCCCAGCCTTTGCACCCCTTGTGGCCCATTTTTGTTCTCAGAGAGCCCCGCGTTGTGTGTAAAAAGCAAGGTGCTTAGGTGGACCAAGAGATCTTCAGCCAGGAGGCAATCTGGCAATGGCCCAGATAGAAACAGTTACAGTTGGAGCTAGACAACGATCGTGCCTTGTGCGTTTTCTTTGACTATTTTCGTTTGGTTTCCTGCTTATTTTCAATAAAATGTTTTTGTAGCATTTGACCTTGGTCCAGTGATGCTAAGGAGGAAGGGAGTGGGCTTTAAATTTTGTCTTCCTTGGGCCAGAGTTTTAAAGAGGAATCAGCTTACCCCCGAGGGCCAGGTGATGGGGGAGGGGGCAGTGTGAATGGAAAGGAGAGGAGCTAAGGGGAAGATGAAAGGTTGGGGCTCAAAACCAGCTGCCCTCCCTGTCTGAGCATCTCTCTCTCTGAAATTACTTTCTGATCAAAGGTCAGTGCAATTTGTGTTTAGTCTGAACCTGAGGAATTTTTCCTTTAGAGGCTGCAACTGCCAAAGCCTTAGTTAGCCAGCTGTGCTGCTGAAAGAGCAACCACCAGGGACATTCCCCAGAGGGAATCGAGGTCCCTTCTTCCTGGAAAGTTTCCTGAAACATGAGATGCTATGATGATGATGATGATGATAACGACGACGGTCGTGGTCATGGCTAACATATGCTGGGCATTTTTCTATGCCAGGCAGGCAGTGTTTGTCTGAGCATCTTCCCCTGTCAGCTTGTGAGCTGGGTCCTAGTACTACTCCCCTTTTGCAGATGAAGAAACTGCCCATGGCCACAGCCCACTGAAGATGAAACCAAGGTTCTCTGTCTAAAGCTGTTGATTAAAAATAATAATTAAAAAATTAAAAATTGGCCAGGCACAGTGGCTCACGCCTATCTGTAATCCCAGCACCTTGGGAGACCAAGGCAGGCGGATCACTTGAGGCCAGGGGTTTGACACCAGACTGCCAACATGGTGAAACTCTGTCTCTATTAAAAATGCAAAAATGAGCCGGGCATGGTGGCACACACCTGTAATCCCAGCTACTCTGGAGGCTGAGGCAGGAGAATCATTTGAAGCCAGGACGTGGAGGTTGCAGTGAGTTGAGATCGAGTCACTGCACTCCAGCCTGGGCAACACGGCAAGATTCTGTCTCAAAAAAAATTTAAAAATTAATTTTAAAAAATTTGTGAAGACGGGCTGAGCATAGTGGCTCATACCTGTAATCCTACCACTTTGGGAAGCTGAGTTGAGGGGATCACTTGAAACCAGGAATTTGAGGCTGCAGTAAGCTATGATTGCACCACTGCACTTCATGGTGGCATGGTGGACATCGTTACTTTCTGGACCAGCTTCTGGGCCGGCATGGGTGGACATCTTTCCAGGAATATACTCTGAGTGTCAGTGAGACACTGTCTTAAAAAAAAAAAAAAAAAAAAAGAAGGTAAGGTTGAGACCATGGGCAGTAGTTTGACCCCAGGCTCTTCAACATGAGTTGCCTTTGTACAGAACAACGCAGAAATAAAACCATGTGGCTCTGGACCATAGCTAAGATGCTGGGATCCCTGGCTGAAGATCTCATGACCTCTGCAGGAGCAGAACAAATGTGGTGGCAGTGGCAGGGGCTCACCCAGATAGTCATTCCTCTTCTGGTTGATGTTCAGGATCTCTCTGATATGGTCAACAGCTGTCTTGGGAGAGCCACCCATATTGGACTTTCCTAGAACAAAGAGAATAAAGAATTCTTCTAGGTAATATCAGGATTTCCCCAGGCCCTGGAAGAGTAGGAAAGCATTTAGCCTGGGAACCTCAACATTTACATTGCCTGTGAGAGCTTCAAAATATACTTTTAGGCTGGGCATGGTGGCTCACACCTGTAATCCTAGCACTTTGGGAGACCGAAGAAGGCGGATTGCCTGAGCTCAGGAGTTCCAGACCAGCCTGGGCAACATGGTGAAACCCTGTCTCTACTAAAACCACAAAAAATTAGCCAGGTGTGGCCGGGCATGGTGGCTCATGCCTGTAATCCCAGCACTTTGGGAGGCCAAGGCAGGTGGATCACCTGAGGTTGGGAGTTTGAGACCAGCTTGACCAACATGGAGAAACCGCACCTCTACTAAATATACAAAATTAGCCGGGTGTGGTGGCACATGCCTGTAATCCCAGCTACTCAGGAGGCAGGAGAATCGCTTGAACCTGGGAGGCGGAGGTTGCGGTGAGCCGAAATCGCGCCATTGCACTCCAGCCTGGGCAACAAGAGTGAAACTCCATCTCAAAAAATAAAAATAAAAATTAGCCAGGCATGGTGACACATGCCTGTAGTCCCAGCTACTCTGGAGGCTGAGGCACGAGAATTGCTTCAGCCTGGGAGGCAGAGGTTGCAGTGAGCCGAGATCGCACCACTGTAGTCCAGCCTGGGCAATAGAGTGAGACCCTGTCTCAAAAAAATAAATATATATATATATATGTATGTATACATATATATATATATACATACATATATATATATACACACTTTTACTGAAATGTTCTACATTCCAGGCACCAGGCCAGGTGCTTCCTATACTTTAACTCATTTAATTCTCATGAAACCCCAGGTAGAGTGGGTATCCTCATTTTATATACTAAGTCCTGGAGGAACTGTGTAATTTGGACAATAGCAAGAGGCAAATGACAAGGCCAGATCCACTACAGACTGTTCCTTGCATCCGTGCCCTTCGACATTCCTGCTCAAGAGCCACGTTTCCTCATCTATCTCCAAGTTACCTCCCAGATGGTAACAAGAGCTAACACAGAGCACTTTCACACAGGCAACTTAAATAGCTTTCCATAAAAATTGTGTAAGGAAAGGAGGACAGCCATCATGATCATCATTGCTGTCATTGTGGTTACGGTCATCATCATCAACACTAATTCTATTTATTTATTTATTTTATTTTGAGACAAGGTAGGATCTTGGTCTGTCACCCAGGCTGGAGTGCAGTGGCATGATCTTGGCTCACTGCAACCTCTGCCTCCCAGGTTCAAGCAATTCTCCTGCCTCAGCCTCCCAAGTAGCTGGGATTACAGGCGCCTGCCACCACACCCAGCTAATGGTTTTGTATTTTTAGTAGAGACGGGGTTTCACCATGTTAGCCAGTCTGATCTCAAACTCCTAACCTCAAGTGATCCACCCGCTTTGGCCTCCCAAAGTGCTGGGACTACAGGCATAAGCCACCACACTGGCCCTATTTTATAAATAAGAAACTGGGCCAGGTGTGGTGGCTCATGCCTGTAATCCCAGCACTTTGGGAGGCTGAGGCAGGAGGATTGCTTGAAGCCAGGAGTTTGAGATCAGCTGGGCAACATAGCAAGGCCCCATCTCTAAAAACAAAAACAAAACTGGGGCCCAAAGTGGCAGGCAGAGGGAGAATCAGAATTCAGGGCTTCTGACCCCATATTGGTGCCCCTTCCACTATTCCAGACACACTCAGAGACCATGATACCCACCATCTGTCAGAAGGATGATGGCATGTCGGATTTCCTGCCAGGCCATCGTTTCCATGCCGAGGAGTCGCATTTGGTTGTTCATCATGAGATAGACACTGTTTAAGGCCGCATAGGTGTTAGTCCCAGTTCCATTTTCATGATCTGGAATATGCCAAAAGGAAGGACTCTCTTAGAAACTTCCCACCTACCACCTAGGGGTAGGGAATCACTCTATTCCCCCAATTATTGGAAATGCAATTTTTTTTTTTTTTTTTGAGAGAGTCTCGCTCTGCCACCCAGGCTAGAGTATAGTGGCGTGATCTTGGCTGACTGCAACCTCCACCTCCCCAGTTCAAGTGATTCTCATGCCTCAGTCTCCCAAGTAGCTGGGATTACAGGTGCCAGCCACCATGCCCAGCTAATTTTTTGTATTTTTAGTAGAGATGGGGTTTCACCATGTTGGCCAAGCTGGTTTCCTGACCTCAAGTGATCCGCCCATCTCAGCCTCCCAAAGTGCTGGGATTACTACAGGCATGAGCCACTGCACCCGGCCTGGAAATGCAATTTATCGATTGTTTTGATAAACTCAGACATTTGCCATTCAGATAGAGATGTGGCATCATTGCTTGTTCAAACTTTAAAAGCCTTTCCACCTTAGAAATGTTCATTGCATAGGGCCGGGCAAGGTGGTTCACGCCTGTAATCCCAGCACTTTGGGAGGCTGAGGTGGGCGGATCACAAAGTCAGGATCACGAGACCAGCCTGACCAACATAGTGAAACCCCATCTCAACTAAAAATATAAAAAATTAGCCAGGCATGGTGGCAGGTGCCCGAAATCTCAGCTACTCGGGAAGCTGAGGCAGGAGAATTGCCTGAACCCTGGAGGCAGAGGTTGCAGTGAGCCAAGATCGTGCCACTGCACTCAAGCCTGGGTGACAGTGCGAGACTCCACCTCAAAAAAAAAAAAAAGAAGAAGAAAAAAGAAATGTTCATTGCATAACCCCAATCCAAGACCACACTAAAGTCCCAAGATTCAAAGATGAGGTTTCCAAAACCTTGAGTGGCTTCAGCCATTTGCTAAGTGCCAACCAGGCACTTTACATGGTGTATGGGTGGCTAATGACATGGGGAGATGGCAGTGTGCAGCCATGCAAACCAGACAGTGTGGTTTTGGCAACTGGAAGGAATTGAAGACCTGCACAGTGTCTTTGGACCTGCAGCATCTCAGAATGAGCTATGAGCTGGGGGCAGCTGGACTCCCCCACCATAACCCTGGACGTTGAAACTACCCCAGACTCGTGGGACTCAGGTGCCACCAAGAGGCCTCACTCTCTTTTTAACTCATCCAGAATTTGTTTGCAGGCCCTGAGAGGGTCCATCTTCTCCTCTCTCATCACCATCACGTGATGACACCCGTACCTTTATAGTTGGCATTTTCCAGGCTGCTGATCACCTCAGTCATATCCCGGGAGTTGTCGTTCAGGACAGACATGAGGACTTTGGGCTCTGAGGCAAAGGTGATAATGGCAACGCTCACATTGATCTCAAAGCTGAAGATCTGTGCGGGGCAAGTGAGAGGCAGCGTAAAGGGCCCTGAAGCCAAAGGGGAGATGGTAAGAGAGCAAACAAAGGGCCCTGGAGGAGGCAGAGAAACTGGAGTGAGACCGACAGAGGCAAGGACCAGGGGAGACACTAGGAAATGGCTGTTAGGAAGAAGCTAGGGGCTGGGCGCGGTGGCTCATGCCTGAATCCCAACACTTTAGGCAGGTGGATCACCTGAGGTCAGGAGTTCGAGACCAGCCTGACCAACATGGCAAAACCCATCTCTACTAAAAATACAAAAATTAGCCTGGTATGGTGGCAAGCACCTATAATCCCAGCTACTCAGGAGGCTGAGGCAGAAGAATCACTTGAACCCAGGAGGCAAAGTTTGCAGTGAGCTGAGATCGCACCACTGTACTCCAGCCTGGGTGACAGAGACTCTATCTCAAAAATAATAATAATAATAATAATAATAAAAATAAGGAACAGCAGCAGCTAAGGAAGAAACCTTTGTTGAACATCTTTCTCTTTGACAGACTCTCTTCACTCCACCCTGTGAGGGGCATGATGACCCCTATTTTATGGATAAGGAAACTGAGGTATGTTGCCTTGTCCCCCTTCCCCCATCACACCATGAGGAGGAGGTGGAAGTGGGATCTGAATGTGTCACATGATTCTCAATCACTGCTCCAACTGGTGTGTGTTGCCGCCTCGCAGTGCAATGAGTTACTTAATTTTGAGTCCCAAGAGAGCACAGAAACTGCCCTCTTTAAAATGTAGCTGGGAGGGAAAACCATCTATAATGTTACATGAAGTATTGTGAAAAGCACAATTACAAAACAAAGTTCTGGCGAGGAACTTAAACCAGTGGCTTCCAAACTTCTATCACACATATTTTATTTTATTTTATTTTATTTTATTTATTTTTTTGAGACAGAGTTTTGCTCTAGTTGCCCAGGCTGGAGTGCAATGGCGTGATCTCAGCCCACTGCAACCTCCACCTCCCGGATCCAAGCGATTCTCCTGCCTCATCCTCCCAAGTAGCTGGGTTACAGGCGTGCGCCATCACATGTGGCTAATTTTGTATTTTTAGTATAGACAGGGTTTCATCATGTTGGTCAGGCTGGTCTCAAACTCCTGACCTCAAGTGATCCACCTGCCTCGGCCTCCCAAAGTGTTGGGATTACAGGCACTAGCCACCATGCCCAGTCTATCACACACATTTTAAAGCCTGCACAAAATGTTGAAGTTTTAAAAGGAAATTATTAAATATTAAATTATTAATCTGATTTAAATTATTCCACAGGGGCACCAGTATTTTTCTGCTTCACTCCTGTGGGTTATCTCACTACCTTTCTGTGGAGACCACTGTTCTAGATGATGAATTCCTGGAAAGTAAGACCTCAGCCTTTCCATCTTTGCTGTCGCCCAGCCCCAGCACAGTGTCCCAACAGTGCTTGTGGAATAAAAATTATGATTGTATAAATTGAATTCATGATTCCTACATGGCATGAGTATAATCTGAGAAGACTTCTTGGAGGAGGTGGGCTGTGAGTGGGGTTCTGAGGAGGGGAAGGAGACAGAGAGAGATAGTGAGCACAGGAAGGCCTCTGCTGCAGGCAGACTCCTGATTCCTGACCCTGTCCACCATGAGGGAGGCGCTCTCCTTGAAGATGAGAAAGTCATTTTCCGACACACTCTGCGAACAGTCCAGGAGCAGGTAGAGGTTCAGATGACCAGAGCGCTGGATTTGGATTTTACGGCCCAGGCTTTCTGGAGAAATGTGGAAGGGGAGGATTCAGATCCCCACCTCCTTCCTGCGCTCTCGCCAAGCAGGTCCAGCTTCTCTGCCTCCCTCCCTTTCAGTGGCTGAGCCCACCAAGGCTCCTGGCCTCCAGGAAGGTTGCATCCTCCCTTGCTCCGGCCCAGATCCAGCACCCTGCTCAACCAGAAACCCCACCTCAAACACTCACCCTTTGTCTTCTGGGTGGGATTGGTGGCCCCAAGCATGTGGGAGAAGGAAGTGCCCAGGGCAGGGGCCACGTCCTCAGGGAAGTCATAAGAGTAGGGTTCTGTGGGGAGAGCCACACAGGAGTCAGCCGGGGCAGTGGCCGGGTGTGCCGAGGAATCTCAGGAGGGCAGGGCAGCTACTCACGGCGGCAGATGGGCTCCGTTCCACTCCAGACCCCGTTGCCCTGGCACTCCCGCTCCGAAGACCCCGTGAGCACAAGATTCGAGGAGCAGCGATAGCGGACCTTGTCCCCATGACCAAAGCGGAAGCCTGTCCGCACTGCGCCCAGTGAAATGCCTGGGTTGGGGCAGTGGCCAGCTGCGAGTGAACAAAGGAAGGCAGAGGTGAGTAGCCCCCTCCCATCAGGCTCTGCCTCCTCAGCGGCCTCAGTTGCCAGCAGAAGCTTCCCAGTTCCAACCCAGGGATGCACCCATGTCTGTCCCAGAGCCCCCAGAGACCCAGGGAAGAAGTCAGCTGATGGTCCCTCCACTCCTTCAGAGAACATTTATATTTCATAAACCACAGTGAGGCATCCCTACACACCCATCAAAACGGCTAACACTGAAACAACAGGTAATTCCAAGTGTTGGAGAGGATGCAGAGCGACTGGCACTCTGTTACCTTGCTGGCATGTACGTGGGTGAAACTTTCTCAGCCTCTACTACAACTAAACATATGCCAGCCTGTGATGTGACAATTCCACATTTAGATCATTTACTCAAGAGAAGCAAGTGCATACATGTACCAAAATCACATGCAAGAATGTTCCTAGAGCTCCCTCTCCCTCACCCTCTCCCCATGGTCTCCCTCTCCCTCTCTTTCCACGGTCTCCCTCTGATGCCGAGCCGAAGCTGGACGGTACTGCTGCCATCTCGGCTCACTGCAACCTCCCTGCCTGATTCTCCTGCCTCAGCTTGCCGAGTGCCTGCGATTGCAGGCGCGCGCCGCCACGCCTGACTGGTTTTCGTATTTTGTTAGTGGAGACGGGGTTTCGCTGTGTTGGCCGGGCTGGTCTCCAGCTCCTAACCGCGAGTGATCCACCAGCCTCGGCCTCCCGAGGTGCTGGGATTGCAGACGGAGTCTCGTTCACTCAGTGCTCAATGATGCCCAGGCTGGAGTGCAGTGGCGTGATCTTGGCTCGCTACAACCTCCACCTCCCAGCAGCCTGCCTTGGCCTCCCAAAGTGCCGAGATTGCAGCCTCTGCCCGGCCGCCACCCCGTCTGGGAAGTGAGGAGCGTCTCCGCCTGGCCACCCATCGTCTGGGATGTGAGGAGCCCCTCTGCCTGGCTGCCCAGTCTGGAAAGTGAGGAGCGTCTCTGCCCGGCCGCCATCCCATCTAGGAAGTGAGGAGCGCCTCTTCCCGGCCGCCATCACATCTGGGAAGTGAGGAGCGTCTCTGCCCTGCCGCCCATCGTCTGAGATGTGGGGAGCACCTCTGCCCGGCCGCCCCATCCGGGATGTGAGGAGCGTCTCTGCCCGGCCGCCCCGTCTGAGAAGTGAGGAGACCCTCTGCCTGGCAACCGCTCCATCTGAGAAGTGAGGAGCCCCTCCGCCCGGCAGCCGCCCTGTCTGAGAAGTGAGGAGCCCCTCCGCCCAGCAGCCACCTGGTCCGGGAGGGAGGTGGGGGGGTCAGCCCCCCGCCCGGCCAGCCGCCCCGTCCGGGAGGGAGGTGGGGGGGTCAGCCCCCAGCCCGGCCAGCCGCCCCGTCCGGGAAGTGAGGGGCGCCTCTGCCCGGCCGCCCCTACTGGGAAGTGAGGAGCCACTCTGCCCGGCCAGCCGCCCCGTCCGGGAGGGAGGTGGGGGGGTCAGCCCCTCGCCCGGCCAGCCGCCCCATCCGGGAAGTGAGGGGCGCCTCTGCCCGGCCGCCCCTGCTGGGAAGTGAGGAGCCCCTCTGCCCGGCCAGCCACTCTGTCCGGGAGGGAGGTGGGGGGGTCAGCCCCCCGCCCGGCCAGCCGCCCCGTCCGGGAGGGAGGTGGGGGGATCAGCCCCCCGCCCGGCCAGCCGCCCCGTCCGGGAGGGAGGTGGGGGGGTCAGCCCCCCGCCCGGCCAGCCGCCCTGTCCGGGAGGTGAGGGGCGCCTCTGCCTGGCCGCGCCTACTGGAAAGTAAGGAGCCCCTCTGCCCGGCCACCACCCCGTCTGGGAGGTGTACCCAACAGCTCATTGAGAAGGGGCCATGATGACAATGACGGTTTTGTGGAATAGAAAGGGGGGAAAGGTGGGGAAAAGATTGAGAAATCGGATGGTTGCCGTGTCTGTGTAGAAAGAGGTAGACCTGGGAGACTTTTCATTTTGTTCTGTACTAAGAAAAATTCTTCTGCCTTGGGATCCTGTTGATCGGTGACCTTACCCCCAACCCTGTGCTCTCTGAAACATGTGCTGTATCCACTCAGGGTTGAATGGATTAAGAGCGGTGCAAGATGTGCTTTGTTAAACAGATGCTTGAAGGCAGCATGCTCCTTAAGAGTCATCACCACTCCCTAATCTCAAGTACCCAGGGACACAAACACTGCGGAAGGCCGCAGGGTCCTCTGCCTAGGAAAACCAGAGACCTTTGTTCACTTGTTTATCTGCTGACCTTCCCTCCACTATTGTCCTGTGACCCTGCCAAATCCCCCTCTGTGAGAAACACCCAAGAATGATCAATTAAAAAAAAAAAAAAAAAAAGAATGTTCCTAGAGCTTTACTCCTAATGGCCCCAAACTGGAAATAATCCAAATGTCCATCAGGAGGGGAATGGATAAATTGTAATATACCCATATAATGGAATACTACACAGCAATAAAAAAGAACAAAGTACTGATACACACAACAGCATGGATAAATCTCACAGGCAGAATATAGAACAAAGGATGCCAGAAGCAACAGACCACATCCCGCATGATTCCATTTACAGGAAATGTAAGCACAAGGTACCTAGTCCATGGAGACAGAGGTCAGAAGAGCAGTTACCTTGTGGGAGGGGACAAGAGGGAACCTCATTCTGTCTTGGGTGGTGATTAGATGAGTGGATGCATTGTAACAAATCATTGAGCTGAATAGTTAAGATTTGTACATTTTACAATAGGTAAATTATGCCTCAATTTTAAAATAAGTTAGAGTCACGTCTAATAATTCAAGCATTACTTATCACAGTCTTACCAGGCATCTACTTCACCCTCCTACAGAATAAATGGCCATTTGCCAAAACCCAAGGGCATGAGTGGGGATCCATGGTCTGGGCCACTAGGTGAAGGTGGTCCTGCCATCTTGTGGACTCCGTGTCTTCTGTATGATGTGCTAAGAACCATGATCCAAGAAGCTCCCAAACCCACAGGCAAATGCAGCTCCAGGGAATCCTAGGAGCCCTACTTCTGCCAAGCAGAGCCCCTCACCATTCACAGGGGCAGCAATAACTATGACAAAAGTGCTTATGGCCAGGTGTGGTGGCACATGCCTGCATTCCCAGCTACTGAGGAGGCTGAGGTAGGAAGATCACTTGAGCTCAGGAGTTTGAAGCCAGCCTTGGCAACACAGCGAGATCCTGTCTCTTAAAGAAACAAAAACAAGGCCGGATGCCGTGGCTCACGCCTGTAATCCCAGCACTTTGGGAGGCCAAGGTGGGCAGAATCCCCTGAGGTCAGGAGTTTGAGACCAGCCTGGCCAACATGGAGAAACCCTGTCCCTACTAAGAATAGAAAATTACCGAGGCATGGTGGCGCATGCCTGTAATCCCAGCTTCTTGGGAGGCTGAGGCAGGAGAGTCACTTGAACCCGGGAGGCAGATGTTGCGGTGAGCTGAGATTGCGCCATTGCACTCCAGCCTGGGCAACAAGAGCTAGACTCCGTCTCAAAAAAAAAAAAAAGTGTACATGGCATTTATCAGATTCCAGGGGCTGTTTTTTTTGTTTTTTGTTTGTTTGTTTGTTTGTTTGTTTTGAGACAGAGTCTCACTCTGTCACCCAGGCTGGAGTGCAGTGGCACGATCTCGGCTCACTGCAACCTCTGCCTCCCAGGTTCAAGTGATTCTCCTGCCTCAGCCTCCTGAGTAGCTGGGATTAACCACGCCCAGCTAATTTTTGTATTTTTAGTATAGACGAGGTTTCACCACGTTGACCAGGCTGGTCTCAATCTCCTGACCTCAGGTGATCCACCCACCTCAGCCTCCCAAAGTGCTGGGATTACAGGCGTGAGGCACCGAGGCTGGCATTTTTTTTTTTTTTTTTTTTTTTTGAGACAGAGTCTTACTCTGTCACTCAGGCTGGAGTGCAATGATGCAATCTCGGCTCACTGCAATCTCCACTTCCTGGTTCAAATGATTCTCCTGCCTCAGCCTCCTGAATAGCTGGTATTACAGGCATGCGCCACCGCACCCGGCTAATTTTTGTATTTTTACTAGAGACGGGGTTTCACCATGTTGGCCAAGCTGGTCTCAAACTCCTGACCTTGTGATCCACCCCCCTTGGCCTCCCAAAGTGCTGGGATTACAGGCGTGAGCCACCGCACTCCAGGGCTGTTGTATATGCTTACTAATGTCAACTCATTTAATCCAGATGGCAATCTCAGGTCAGCACTCACTATCCTTGTCTTACAGATGGGAAAACTGAGGGCTAGAAAGGTTAAATAGCCTTCCCAAAGTCTGTCAAAGTCAGAGTAGGGCTTGGAACCCAAACCTGGCTTTAAAGGCAAGGCATTAAAGCACAGTACTTGACTCTCTCCCAGCATATCTTCCCTACAACAATCTGTGGGGCCTGAATATGAAGTCTTGCTTTGAGGCACTTAGAAAAGCCAGGCAGAGTGTGTGGAGGCTTTATGCTACATCTGAAGCTTAGCACCAGCTGCCTGGGGCCTGGCCCTTGCAGACTTGTGATGTGTGACCTGTAGACCTCAATTTACCAAAATCCAGGAATATTATTATGGCACACTGAACAACAGACTCCTATCCCCACAGAGGCTTCCTGGATGCACATTGGGCCCCAGGGTTCCCCAGGAGACCCCAGCCCCCTGTGTAGCCCATCAGCCAGAGAACTCACCCCCATTATCACACACAGCTGTTTCTCCATCCCACATGCCGTTGGGGCGACACTGACGCACAGGCGAGCCCCGCAATATGAAGCCATCCTCACACTCGAAGCTCACATTGCCACCCACGGGATAGGACCCCAGCCGTGGGGTATAAATGCCATTCTCAAAGGAGACAGGGGCTGGACAGCGCACAGCTGGAGAGAGAGGAAGTGGGTGGGGAATATAGGACTGGATGGATAACACCTGGGCTGGGGATTAAGCAGGTGATTTTATGCTGGAATGCATGGGAATGGTCAACTGGCTGTCAAAACACTGAAATATTAGGTTGCAACATGTGAAATTGCTGTTTTTGGCAACTGATTGAATATTGCCAATTTCACAGAGTCTAAGCGAACTGATTGATAAATAGCCACTTCCCTCAGTCTCCTGAGGGCCGTGGCCTCCCCAGACACTCCCCTTGGGATCCTCAGATGTCTAGAGGACTCCAGGACCATTCAGCATCTGTTCTGAATGGTCACTACTAGGCAGTCAATTGTACATAAAAAGTCATCCCTGGCTTTAGTACCCCACAGTCTCCATCAAGACCTGTTCCCAATTCCTTGCTACTGGCAATTGACATTTTCTGGATATTTTGAAAAGCCCTCTGCAAAAGCAACTTTGCCATCTAGTCAGGTTAAGTCCCACCCTGAGCAACTCCTAAACAAAAGTTCTGGGGTGGCCCCTGGTGTACCACCCTGAGCAAAGCCCACAGGGAGCCTCACGTTTGCAGACCGCCTTAGACAGAGACCGGGTGGCTCCTGGGGTCTGCCACTGTCCGCTGCTCTTGCACAGCCGTGATGCTGGGGATGGGTACAGGCCCTGGGGGCAGGAGTAGGTGAGAAGGCTCCCAGGAGCCCAGCCATGGCTGAGGGTGAAGGTGCCACCCGAGATATTCACGTTCTGAGGGCAGGAGGGAGCCGAGTCTGCCAGACCTAGAGCCGTGGGAACAAGGAGACAGCAATGGAGAAAGAAGGAAGACACAGATGAGAAAAGGAAAGCAAAAGAGACTGTTTCACACATGGGAATTCAAGCTGGGAGCACCAACCTCACACACAGGACCCTGACGTTCCCCCTTCCCTGCCTCCTACCTGGGTACAGGAACAGCAGGCAAAAAAGAACCATCAGTGGGCCCATGGTGTCCTCCCTAGGGGCGGCGAGAGGTAGAGAGCCGCGGGAGGGAAAAGGTCATCTGACTTCCCGAAAACTAGAGCTGGGTCAGCAGCTGCTTCATTGCTGCCAGAGAAGAAAAACCAGGGAGTGGCAAGGGGGATGGTCTTCTGTTAGGGAAATAATAAGCAGGGATTGGGGACTGAACTGAAGGGTGAAACCTTTGCCCTGTCTCCCTGATGCTAATATATCTATAGGGTCAATAGATCTCCCCCACAGGCTTTGTGTACTGCCCCCACGCTCCACCCACCCATGCGTGCACATGTGCACCATACACGCATGCTCACAAACACGCAGGCAAACACATATTTGGGCTCGTGTGTGCACACATGCACCTTGCTCTTGTGTGAATAGTCAATAGTCTAAAGCACACAAACCCACAAACCATCCAAGATATTGCAAAATATTTCATTTAAGTAAAGTTTTAGTGTTCTTTTGGGTTGTACCAAGTGGGTTTTACTTCCTGAGAGCCTAGAACAGTTCTGTCTTCTTGAAGATAAACTTCCGAGGGGGGTGAAACTAATTTTTTTAGAACTTCTTGATAAATAGGAAGATTGACAATACTTTTTTATTCCCTACAATCCTTCCCTAGAGATAATCTAGGTGGAAAAAATGAAATCAACACTTAGTTTTGGAGACAGGAAAAATGTTTACAACATTTTTACGGAAAGTCTAGTAGATGAAATTCCCAACTGGCAAAGTAAATACATTTGGGGTTGGTTACTCAAAGGAATAAAACTTTTGCGGGGGCTGGGATATGCCTTTAAATCATAACCTACACTTGTATGAAATGCAGGAAGCAAAGAAACTTGAAGCTAGTGTGTTAGTCTCCCTGACCCACAGAAGTCTTTTCAATACCTTTTTGAACAATGTAGGGTAAAAATAAATAAGACCAATAAAAAAATGAACATGAAACCTCTCTGAAGTGATCATTTAGGTTCGTAAAAACCCTTTTGATTTATAAGTGAGTCCTTAGAGAACTGATTGAACCTAGAAGATGGAGGTTGCAGTGAGCCAAGATTGTGCCACTGCACTCCAGCCTGGGCAACAGAGTAAGACTACATCTCAAAAAGAAAAAAAAAAAATAAGACCGGGCACAGTGACTCACGCCTGTAATCCCAGCATTTTGGGAGGCTGAGGCGGGTGGATCATGAGGTCAGGAATTTGAGACCAGCCCGGCCAACATGGTGAAACCCCGTCTCTACTAAAATTACAAAAAATTAGCCGGGTGTGGTGGCAGGGGCCTGTAATCCCAGCTACTCGGGAGGCTGAGGCAGGAGAATCACTTGAACCCGGGAGGCAGAGGTTGCAGTGAGCCAAGATCATGCCACTGCATTCCAGCCTGGGTGACAAGAGCAAGACTCTGTCTCAAAAAAAAAAAAAAGAGTACACAAATTGAGACTCCCCTTGGACAGGGCTAAGTGCATGAAAATCAGGACATCCTGGTGTTAGGGACTCCAAAGTGGCTGCTGTGGCAGAGCTGCTAGTGCCTCCCCTGCCCCTCAAGTATCTTTTCTCCCTCCTTCCACAGTAAGAGATGGTTAGGGGAACACACAGTCACCCAGCTAAAGACCATATTTCCTAGCTTCCCTTGCAGCTAGGTAGCCAGGTGACTTGGTTCTGGCTAATGGGATGTTAGTAGAACTTATGTATGTCATTTCCAAGTTATGTCCCTAAAATAAAAAGGCAGTGTGCCTTTTCTTTTCATGGGCTGGAATATAAACCTAGCGGAGATCCGTCTTCCACCAGGAGGATGAGGGCAACATGCTGGGGATGACAGAGCAAACAGACAGAGGAGCCTGGGTGTCTGACACAGTGTTGATGTCATACCAGCCCTGCACAGCCACTTAGATTGTTACAAGAGAGAAATAAACTATCGTAAAGGTGGGGGGTATTTAAGGATGTTCACAAATACTGTAGCCTTGTCTTCTTTCAATCACATGGTAGGATAGGATTTCCCCAGCCACTTGTTTTAGCCAATAAGATGTGAGTACAAGTGATATGTATCACTTCCTGATGGAAGCTCAATGTAGTCTTCACCCTGCTCTTCCCCTCTGTATGGTAACGTCTGAGATGGTGGCTGCTCCACCAGCCAAGATCCCTGGGTGATATCGAAAGCACAGTACCAGCCGGGCACAGTGGCTCACACCTGTAATCCCAGCACTTTGGGAGGCCGAGGCAGGGGGATCACCTGAGTTCAGGAGTTAGAGACCAGCCTGACCAACATGGTGAAACCCCATCTCTACTAAAAATACAAAAATTAGCTGGGCGTGGTGGCATACGCCTGTAATCCCAGCTGCTCAGGAGGTTGAGGTAGGAGAATCGCTTGAACCCGGGAGGCAGAGATTGCAGTGAGCCGAGATCACACCACTGCACTTCAGCCTGGGTGACATAGGGAGACTCTGTCTCAAAAAAGAAAAAAAAAGCGCAATACTCGGCTGACTCTCAGTGGATAAGTAATATGACCAAAAAATAAACCTTTGTTATTTTAATTCATTGCATTTCTACTAATGCAGGAAAAAAAGTACCCACCCAATATGTAGGAAATTTAAAAATGATTTATTCTTTCTCATATTGGCCAGAAGGTTCTTCTGCTGATCTTCCATGCAGCGGCAGTCAGCTAGGGGCTGAGTTCAGTTAACAGTAGGACAGCAGGTCCTTCCTCCCTAGCCCTCATAGCATGGCAGTCTCAGGACAACTTCTGAGGAATCCAAAACATAAGCTGCAAGGTCTCTCGAGGCCTAGCCCCAAAAGTCACATAACATCACTTCTGCCACATTCTATTGGTCAAAGCAAATCACAAGGTCAGCCCAGATTTAAGACTGGAGGCATAGAATTTACCTCTTGATAGGAGGGATGGCAAAGTCACACGGCAAAGGGGCAGGCACATCAGAATAGGAGAGACTGATGGCTATATTTTGTAAGCCCTCCTATGGCAACAAATATTTCTAGGTTGTTGGTTACCAGAACGTAATGAAGCCTAACCTGACTGAACATTCAAATCACTAAACTTTGGGTGCCTTTTAAAGCCATCAAACTAATATGTAACAGCTGCCTTCAAAAGAAAGGGCCTTTCTTTCATGAGTTTTTCCCAGTATTTGTTGAGCTACATCAACTTGGCACAGTGTGGCAGAATTCATTCTCTCTTCCTGCTTAAGTAATAAAACTCCCAAGTTTTCTGGGCCCACAGAGTATGTTCTTAAGGAGAAGTGTTTACTCCTCAATGTATAAAACTTCTTCCCTTCCCACCAGCTGGAATGTGGACAGAATGGTGGACTCTGGAACAGCCACCTAGATCACAAAATGGAAGTCACATGTGGATGATGATAAAGAAACAAAATTAAAGAGGCCCTGCTCTCCAATCCTGTAGAGCTAATAGGATTGACCTGGACCACTTATGCTCAGACCATTTAAGCTGCTGTTATTCTAGCTTGGTTATAACAAAGCCAAACCATGTCTAACTGATATACCTAGCAAGAAATCAATGTGAGAGCCAAAGGCAACACTCAGAGAAGTGTGTTTATTAGGATACACGTTAAACTTCTGTAATAAAGAGACCCTAAAATACAGTAACTTAAATAAGATAGAATTTTGCTGCACTTTCAAATAAGAGCCTCAGAGGCCGGGCGCGGTGGTTCACGCCTGTAATCCCAGCACTTTGGGAGGCCGAGGCGGGTGGATCACAAGGTCAGGAGATCGAGACAATCCTGGCTAACACGGTGAAACCCCGTCTCTACTAAAAAATACAAATAATTAGCCGGGCGCGGTGGCAGGCGCCTGTAGTCCCAGCTACTCGGGAGGCTGAGGCAGGAGAATGGCAGGAACCCGGGAGGCAGAGTTTGCAGTGAGCTGAGATCGCGCTACTGCACTCCAGCCTGGGAGACAGAGCGAGACTCCATCTCAAAAAAAATAAATAAATAAGAGCCTCAGAGGCCGGGTGCGGTGGCTTACGCCTGTAATCCCAGCACTTTGGGAGGCCGAGGCGGGCGGATCACGAGGTCAGGAGATCGAGACCATCCTGGCTAACATGGTGAAACCCTGTCTCTACTAAAACTACAAAAAAAAAAAAATTAGCTGGGTGTGGTGGCGGCGCCTGTAGTCCCAGCTACTCGGGAGGCTGAGGCAGGCGAATGGCGTGAACCCGGGAGATGGAGCTTGCAGTGAGCGGAGATCGTGCCACTGCACTCCAGCCTGGGTGACAGAGCAAGACTCCATCTCAACAAAAAAAAAATAAAAACAAAATAAGAGGCTCAGGGTAAGCAGACAAGGCTGAGATGGCGTGTGTGGCCCTGGCTGGCAGAGCTGCTCATCAGCCTCCTTCAGGCCTCCAGCTTCCTTCCATCTGTGGTTCATGCCTTTGGAAATTGTCCTTGTCTGCATGGTTGAAACAGGGTCTCCATCAAGTCTGCCTCCCACCCCACTCTTCCATTCATATTCCATTGGCAAAAAGTCAGTTATAGTCCACTGTCAGCTCTCCAGGAGGCCCAGTCGAATGTGGAAGGACCATGACCTGACCTGTGGGGCTAAAGATGCCAGACCTTTATTCCCCTCGGCACTCCCGATTAGCTTTTCAGTAGACCCCACCAGATGAGGGCGACCTTGGCTTCTCTATTTCTTGTACCATTCAAAAGCCCAGCAAATGTAACCGTGTTTTCACTCCAGGTAGAGGGAAGCAGGTGAATAATATCTAAAAAACAGACATGCCTCTCCTGCCAGCTTCTTCCATCTTGTCCAAATTTCTTCTTATCAATTCTAGGCTTCTAATATCTGCTTCCAAGGGTACAATTCCAAAGAGAAAAAACCAATACCCCAATTCTGTACTTCATCTCCTAGTCAGAGTTGGATTTTTGCTTTTGGTTTTTTTGGTTTTTTGTTTTTGAGACAAAGTCTTGCTTTGTTGCCCAGGCTGGAGTGAAGCAGTACGATCTCGGCTCACTGCAACCTCCACCTCCTGGGTTCAAGGGATTCTCCTGCCTCAGACTCCCAAGTAGCTGGGATTACAGGCATGTGCTACCATGCCCAGCTAATTTTTGTATATTTAGTAGAGATGGGGTTTCACCATGCTGGTCAGGCTGGTCTCAAACTCCTGACCTCAGGTGATCCACCTGCCTCTGCCTCCCAAAGTGCTGGGATTACAGGTGTGAGCCACTGTGCCAGGCCCCCTAATCAGAGTTTAAAAATCAGAAATGATGCTCTGATGGCCTCTCAGGATGCCTTATTCTCCCCTGGAGAGCTCAGCACCTTGCAGCTGAAAATTTCTGAGGAAACGTGGCATATAGCAGAGGCCGACCCCACTCTAGTGGCCAGTCTACTCCTTATCCAGTCTGGCCACTTGGGCATGGACTTCGCGGTCATCCTAGGATCTGCCACCCCTCAACCTTCTATGGCAACTGCAGGTCAACCCCCAAATTGGAAAACTAGTCTGGCTTGGCCTGGTTCACAGCCTTAATGTGTGACTTTAGATGGGGATTCAGCATTGCTCTGCAAGCCTCTTGGTGGTTTTAGTGGATCTGTCCTTGCCCCACCATATCCCTTGGGCCTTATCACTGGGGTGCTCCACTGACTTCCAGCTGCAGCATCTCTGTCTCTACCCAAGGATTGTTTTTGGTGTCCTGCACCATCTGTGCACAGAAAGCTGGAAATGACAGAGAATTAAGGCCTTCAACCAATGACTGATTGGTATAAATACTGGGCTCCCTCACCCTGGACCATGGGATAACTCTGCACCACTCCAGGGTTCCTGAGTGGGATTGACCTCCACTCACCCACAATGGTAAATTTGCCTGATAACACACCCTTCATTGACTGCCTTCCTTCTCTATCACACTCCACTACCCATGTTTCTTGCGATCACCTCCAGAATGCACTGTCTGCACTGGAACCCTTGTCTCCAGGTCTGCTTCTGGGGGAGGAAGACTTCATATTAGCAGGACATAGTGCCAGACAGTATTTTTAAGTCTTAAATGTAGGTGCTCACTTAATCCTCACAGCAAGCTTATGACACAGGTTCTGTTGTTACTCCCACTTTACAGATGAGGGAACTGAGGCACACAAAGGTTAAGTGAGCTGCCCCAGGTTCATACAGGTACTAAGCAGCAGAGCCGGGATTCAAACCCAGGCAGCATGGCTCCTGGGTCCACACTCATAGCCACCAAGTGGTAGTGCCTCTTCCTCACGTCTTCTCTTTAGTGACTGCTGGGAGCTCCTTGCGCATCCCTGAAGTCTACCCCAGCCCCTTGCATTTCCAAGCCCTCTCTCCCCTAGGCTCTTTCCTCTTGGCACCCCCTCTCCCATAACACCTTCTTTTCCATCCTTCTCAAATCCCTCATCTTCCAGACTCCTACAAGACCTGTCCACGCCATTTCCCACCTTCTAGCTACTTGTGCACTTGTCTCAAGCTCCCCAGAGGAAGGATCCAGGAGTTTTTTTTTTAAACAATGAGCTATCCAAGTAAGGTCAAGCCAATGCCCTCCCCCATCCTATTTCCACCCCAAGTAAATAGCATCTTTCAGGTCAGCAACAGAATTGGCTTTGGTTTCTCATCCATTTCTTTTTTAATAAAAATATTTACATTGGGTCAGACCCCACCCATTTCCACACAAAGGCCTCTGCTAAGTTCCTCGGTACACACACCATCCCCCATCCTAGCAGGCACTGCCTACTAACTTTGAAGTGATTGCCCAACTATGATCTTGAGGAATCTCCACATACATCACCCTTAGAGCCTCAGAAAGGGTTTTGCCCTGCCCCATGGGGCTCCTCCCCATGCCCAGGCTCTTCCAGGGCCCTGGGCCTCAGAGGCCACCCTGCAGGCCCAGACACTGGGTTAGACACTGAACCTCCTGTCCTTGTCCATCCATTGCACAAACAATTCCTGAGAATGGAACGAGGAACTAAGGGGTGGGGTAGGGCCTCCCAAGAAACAGAAGGCCTGTCCCTGACCTCCTGTAGGCGCCATATCTCTTTCAGACAAAAACTCAACCTCTAAAGACTCACAGGCCTGGGGTGTACCAGGGTGTCCATCTGCCCACACCGCAGCTCTTACCTCAGCCCTCTGAGGTCTCCACTGTCCTTGGGCTGGTGGGGGGCATGGTGCATGTTATCACCCACTTCTTGCTACCCATCAGGGAAGCTGCCCTGGGTAACCCAGGTAAGAGGGTGGTAAACACAACTCAGGTGCTCAGGGGTCAGCTGAGGATGGGCCAGGGGGAGGGGTGGCCTATGGCTGAATTGCCCTGGCTCCGGTCCTCACCACCCCAACCCCAGCTCTGGGCTTAGCATTGGTGGCAGTGGGGGCCTCACTAGCCTCCTCTGCCCTTTCATTGAAAATTCCTCTCTAATGTTTTCCTTTATCCTGGGGAGTGGGGAGATATTCATCCCCTTCCCAGTTCTGGGTACCAGTACCCTCTTGACAAAAGGATAGCCTGGGGCTCACATGGGAGAATCCTCCTGCCCTCACTCCTCCAGTGCTGCCAAGGGGTGAAGAGGGAACTTGCCCAGTAGAAAGACATACGTTCATGCCTTGCTTTCCTGCCCAACACAAATGAAAGGTTATACCTGAGAAGAGCTCCTCCTGCCCCGTCTCTGGCCCCAGCCCCAGTGTGGTATGAGGAATTCAGGCTTTGACTTAAGACAGCCTGGAACCTCAGGTTTGGCTTGGCAAATTCATTAGCTATTTCGTAGCCTTACTCACCCTGTTTTGTCACCTGTCATCCACAGAACCAACAGCAAAATACACTCCCCTTAAGGTTACCTTTGAGAATTAGGACCATCAAAAGGAGAAGATCGGCTACCCTACAGGTATAAAAGGTACCAGGATATTTGCTTTAGCATTCACTGTTACCAAGAGGAAATGTTTGGAAACTCCCACGTCCATTAATAGGGGACAGACACAGCACATTGTGGTATGGGGACAACTGAATACTACGCAGTCTCTGCAAGCTTAAGGCTTATCTGTGTGTACAGAGCTGAATGTCTCCAGATATATATGTTATATAATATACACTTTTAAACTAGATAGACATTCAGAACTGTATGTATGGGATGCCACCATTTATGCAAAAAAAGGAGGGAAAGAGGATAGTAGCCACATATGCTCTCTGTGTGTATATAATTTCACTGGAAAAGTTTACAAAAAACTGGATAGGAGAGTTGCCTCTGGGGAGAACTGGGGGCTGGAAAATGAGGTGGGAGGTAAAGAAGGCAACTTAATTTTCACCAAATCCCCTTTATTACTCCTTGTAGTTTTCACTGGGTACATATGATACCTATTCAAGGCCAGGCCCAGTGGCTCACGCCTGTAATCCCAGCACTTTGGGTGGCCAAGGCAGGTGGATCACCTGAGGTCAGGAGTTTGAGACCAGCCTGACCAACATGGTGAAATCCCGTCTCTACTAAAAATACAAAAATTAGCCGGGTGTGTTGGCAGGCACTTGTCACCCCACCTACTCAGGAGGCTGAGGCAGGAGAATTGCTTGAACCTGGGAGGCAGAGGTTGCTGTGAGCTGAGATTGCACCACTGCACTCCAACCTGGGCAACAAGAACAAAACTCCGTCTCCAGAAAAAAAAAAAAAAAGAAAAGAAAAGAAAAGAAAAGAAATACCCTACTGGACTATTAACAAGAGACCCTGATACAATCTCTCTGCAGATTAAGTTTTATTTTGTAAAATTTCAAACATATTGTAAAGTAGAGAGAATAGTAAAATGAACTTTCATGTATGTATCCATCATCTAGCTTCAGTTCATAGACGGTCTCGGTTCATAGACGGTCTGGGTTCATGTCTATATACCACCCACCAACCATTCCTTCCAGGAATTTTTTTTTTTTTTTTTTTTTTGAGACAGAGTCTTGCTCTGTCACCCAGGCTGGAGTGCAGTGATGCAATCTCGGCCCACTGCAACCTCTGCCTCCCAGGTTCAAGCCTCCTGAGTAGCTGGGATTACAGGTGCCCGCCACTACACCCAGCTAATTTTTTTGTATTTTTAGTAGAGATGGGGTTTCACCAACTTGGCCAGGCTGGTCTTGAACTCCTGACCTCGTGATCCGCCCACCTCGGCCTCCCAAAGTGCTGGAATTACAGGCGTGAGCCACCGCTCCCAGCCAGGATTTTTTTTTTTTTTTAAGTTAAAGACAGGGTCTCACTGTCACCCAGGCTGGAGTTTAGTGGTGCAATCACAGCTCACTGTAACCACAAACTCCTGGGCTCACATGATCCTCCCACCTCAGCCTTCCAAGAAGCTGGGACAAGAAGCATGCATCACCATGCCCAGCTAATTTATTCATTTATTTACTTTTGTAAAGACAGGGGTCTCAGTATGTTGCCCGGACTGGCCTCAAACTCCTAGCTTCAAGTGATCCTCCTGCCTCAGTCTCCCAAAGTGTTAGGATTACAAGTGTGAGCCACTGTGCCTGGCCTCGAGGAATATTTTTTTTTTGAGATGGGGTCTTGCTTTGTTGCCCAGGCTGGAGTGCAGAGACCTGATCATAGCTCACGGCAGCCTCAAACTCCTGGGCTTCCACAATCCTCCCACCTCAGCCTCCTGAGTAGCTGAGATTACAGGCATATACCATCATACCAGGCTAAGTTTTTTTTAATTGTTTACTTTAATTAGAGATGAGGTCTTGCTATGTTTTCCAGGCTGGTCTTGAACTAGCCTCAAGCAATCCTCCAACCTAGGCCTCCCAAAGTGCTGGGAATTCATTAAAAATTTTTTTACGGAAAAGCTCAAATTTTTCATTTTAAAATATTTCTCTTTTTTCTTTTTTCAGAACATTTCTCACTTACATAAGAGCACATTTTCTTTCTCTTTTTTTCAGATAGAGTCTCTTTGTGTCACCCAGGCTGGAGTGCAATGGCGTGATCTCGGCTCACTGCAACCTCCGCCTCCCGGGTTCAAGCAATTCTCCTGCCTCAGCCTCCCAAGTAGCTGGGATTACAAACGGCTGACACCACGCCCAGCTAATTTTTGCATTTTTAGTAGAGACGGGGTTTCACCATGTTGGCCAGGCTGGTCTCCAACTCCTGGCCTCAGGTGATCCGCCTACCTCAGCCTCCCAAAGTGCTGGGATTACAGGCATGAGCCACCGCGCCTGGCCTTTTTTTCTTTTTTTAAAATTCCAACTTTTATTTTAGATACAGGGGGTACAGGTGCAGGTTTGTTACATGGGTATATTGCACTAGGTAGTCATAGAACCAATTAGGTAATTTTTTAACCCACACTCCCTCCCTCTCTCCCCTTCTAGTAGTCTTCAGTGTCTATTGTTCCTATATTTATGTCCATATGTGCTCAATATTTAGTTCCGTTATAAGTGAGAACATTAGGCATTTGGTTTTCTGTTCCTACGCTAATTCATTTAGGATTCTGTCCTCCAGCTCCATCCATGTTGCTGCAAAGGACATGATTTAATTTTTTTTTTTTATGGCTGCAAAACTATTTATCTTTCACTTCTTGGCTTTTACCAAAATAAAATGTTTCTTTTGAACTATAAATTTATAAAACATCTCATTGTTCTCTGTATCATAATTTTTTTCTTTTTTTTTTTTTTTCTGAGACAGAGTCTCACTCTGTCACCCAGGCTGGAGTGCAGTGGTGCCGTCTTGGCTCACTGCAACCTCCGCCTCCTGGGTTCAAGCGATTCTCCTGCCTCAGCCTCCCAAGTAGCTCGGATTACAGGTGCCCACCAGCACGCCGGCTAATTTTTGTATTTTTAGTAGAGACGAGGTTTCACCATGTTTGCCAGGCTGGTCTCAAATTCATGATCTCAGGTAATCCACCCGCCTCGGCCTCCCAAAGTGCTCAGATTACAGACATGAGCCACCACAGCCAGCCTTTTTTTTTTTTTTTTTTTTTTGTTGAGATGGAGTCTCGCCCTGTCACCCAGGCTGGAGTACAGTGGCGCTATCTCAGCTCACTACAACTCCAGCCTGGGCAAAAGGAGCAAAACTCTGTCTCAAAAAAAAAAAAAAAAGGGGCAGAGAACTAATGCCCAGAGTCAACCTGCAATTATTGCAGAGTGGGAAGCAGTAGACAGATGCTCCTGCCTCCTGTCCTTCAGGTGGAAAGCGTCTGGAGACATTCAGCTCTCTCCTCAGGAGGGCCTGGGGGAATCGAACTCCACTGCACACAACAGTGACATCACTCTTTTTTTTTTTTTTTTTTTGAGACGGAGTCTCACTCTGTTGCCCAGGCTGGAGTGCAATGGTGCAATCTCTGCTCACCGCAACCTCCGCCTCCCAGGTTCAAGCAATTCTCCTGCCTCAGCCTCCCAAATAGCTGGGATGACAGGCACATGCCACCACGCCAGGCTAATTTTTGCAATTTTAGTAGAGACAGGGTTTCGTCGTGTTGGCCAGGCTGGTCTCGAACTCCTGACCTCAGGTGATCCACCCACCTCAGCCTCCCAAAGTGCTGGGATTACAGGCGTGAGCCACCATACCCGGCCAACATCATTCTCTTAAACTGGCCTTTCCTCCTTCAGGATCTCACACTCCCTATAGCCTCGCTTCTGCTTTCTGGGATCACCTAAATTAACTACCTACGGCCAAGTCCTGTCTCAAGCTCTGCTGTCAGGGTCACCAAAATTAAGATCATCCCTTTCCATCCTCCTCTCCCTATAAACTACTGCCCTTCTTCCACAAACTCCTTCCACGCCAGCAAACCCAGACTGTAACATTAACACAGAGTTATAATCCATCCATATACTGGTCTCTCCACATTCCTGGAGCACAAACTGCTAAAGGGTAGGAACGCTGTGACACGTTTGGTTCCCCCACTGTCCAGTGGGAGAGAGATATGTGAGCCAGTCAGCGCTACACCAAGTTGAGGCAGCCATTGAGGCTCTTCATGAATTTTCCCGTTTTCTGCCTTCCAGGCACATGATAGGATGGAATTCCTCAGCCCTCCTGAAGTTAGGCCACTGCAAGAGGCCTAACTGGCTTGCTTTGGCCAGTGAAATAAGAGCAGAAGTCACATGTGTTGTTACTGTCAGGCACAAGTATTTAACTGCCAATGTAACACAAGACACTCCAGCACCCTCTTTTGATGGAGCCTCCTTTGATCTGGATGCCTGAGTGACTATGATGATCAGAGACTCTAACACTCCTACTGACCCAACAGAGAGCAATAGTGAGAAATAAAACTGTTGTGTTAAGCTACTGAGATTCCAGGGTTGTTTGTTACTGCAGCATGATGTAGCCATCCTGACTGATACAAGCTGAGATAGGAGTCCATATAAAGTTCACAGGGACACAAACAGGGGAATATTAGGTCTCTCTAGAAGATCAGAAAGGTTTCATCAATGAACTTGAGATAGCCTTAAAAGATGAGTGTTTACCTGACAAGGAAGAGATGCAAGCATCCAGGTGAGCAATGAAACCCCAGAGCGCATTAAAGGAACTGCAAGTTCAGGACCTTTCAGGGCTGGGGAGGGAAGGAAGGCCACAATGACACTAGACCAGGGAGGAAGGAGAGAATGCCTTATGGAAGAAACAGCATTTACAGCTTGTAAGGCGATTTGCTATATGGAATTTTAGATAAGGAAGTGATATGATTTGATTTGCATTTCAGAAATATTATTCTGGAATCAGTATGTAGGGGCTGGAAGACCAGTTAAGAGACATTTAGAGTCCTGGCAAGACAACAGGGGCTAAAAGCAAGCACAGAAATGAGGAAGGGAAAGCCAGCACCAACGTTGAGGCATAGACCACGGGGCCCCTGAGCCCTCCTCTGACTCTCAGAACACCTGGGTGTCTTATCACATTGCACCATGACTGCTTGTTCATTGTTTTTGTTGTTGTTGTTGTTGTTGTGATGGAGTCTTGCTCTGTCGCCCAGGCTGGAGTGCAGTGGTGTGATCTTGGCTCACTGCAAGCTCCGCCTCCCGGGTTCACGCCATTCTCCTGCCTCAGCCTCCCAAGTAGCTGGGACTACAGGCGCCTGCCACCACGCCTGGCTAATTTTTTTGTATTTTTAGTAGAGACGGGGTTTCACCGTGTTAGCCAGGATGGTCTCCATCTCCTGACCTCGTGATCCACCCGTCTCGGCCTCCCACAGTGCTGGGATTACAGGCGTGAACCACCGCGCCCGGCCGATTGCTTGTTCATTAACTATAGTCTTCTTTTTTTTTTTTGAGACGGAGTCTCACTCTGTTGCCCAGGCTGGAGTGCAGTGGCACGATCTCGGCTCACTGCAACCTCTGCCTCCTAGGTTCAAGCGATTCTTCTGCCTCAGCCTCCCAAGTAGCTGGGACTACAGGCATACACCACTACGCCCAGCTAATTTTTGTATTTTTAGTAGAGATGGGGTTTCACCATATTGGCCAGGCTGGTCTCGAACTCCTGACCTCATGATCCGCCCACCTCGGCCTCCCAAAGTGCTGGGATTACAGGAGTGAGCCACCGCGCCCGGCCACTCAGGCAGGATTTCTATGTGACAGTCTTGAGGCAGAATTCCTTCTCTGGGAAACCTAAGTCTTTGCTCTTTAGGCCACAATATCAAGAGTAATCTCCTGGCTGGGCGTGGTGGCTCACACCTGAAATCCCAGCACTTTGAGAGGCCGAGGCAGGCGGATCACAAGGTCATGAGATTGAGACCATCCTGGCCAACATAGTGAAACACGGTGAATACAAAACTTAACTGGGCGTGTTGGCATGTGCCTGTAATCTCAGCTACTTGGGAGGCTGAGGCAGGACAATCACTTGAACCAGGGAGTCGGATCGCAGGTTGCAGTGAGCCAAGATCGCGCCTGGGTGACAGAGCGAGATTCTGTCTTAAAAAAAAAAGGGCCAGGCACGGTGGCTCATGCCTGTAATCCCAGCACTTCTGGAGGCCAAGGCGGGCAGATCACGAGGTCATGAGTTCAAGACCAGCCTGGCCAACATAGTGAAATCCTGTCTCTACTAAAAATACAAAAATTAGCCGGGTGTGGTGCCTGTAGTCCCAGCTACACGGGAGCCTGAGGCGGGAGAATTGCTTACACCCAGGAGGCGGAGGTTGCAGTGAGCCGAGATCACGCCACTACACTCCAGCCAGGGTGACAGAATGAGACTCCATCTCAAAAAAAAAAGAGTAAACTCCTTTACTTAACGTCAGCTGAGTATAGATGGCAATGTCTTTGCTTCGTTTTATTTTTTTGAGATGGAGTTTCGCTTTTGTTGCCCAGACTTGCCCAGACTGGAGTGCAATGGCACGGTCTCAGCTCACTGTAACCTCTGCCTTCCAGGTTCAAATGATTCTTGTGCCTCAGCCTCCCAACTAGCTGGGATTACAGGTGCCTGCCACCACACCCAGCTAATTTTTGTATTTTTAGTAGAGATAGCGGTTCACCATGTTGGCCAGGCTGGTCGCGAACTCCTCACCTCAGGTGATCTGCCCACCTTGGCCTCCCAAAGTGCTCCAATTACTGGCGTGAGCCACTGTGCCCAGCCAAGATGTCAGTGTTATCTACAAAATGCCCTCACTGAAGTATCCAGACTACAGTCAGGCATGGTGGCATGCTTGTAGTCCCAGATACCCAGGAGGCTGAGGCAGGAGAATCACTTGAGACTGGGAGTTCAAGTTCAGCCTGGAGAACATAGTGAGAGTCTATCTCATTAAGATAAATAATAATGCAAATGTGTATATATACAGTGCCCAAGGGCACCATAGCCTTGCCAAATTGACACATCTTTTTTTTTTTTTTTTTTTTTTTTGTGGAAACAGGGTTTCACCATCTTACCCAGAGTGGTCTTGAAATCCTGGGCTCAAGTAATCCTCCCACCTTGCCCTCCTAAAGTGCTGGGATTACAGGCGTGAGCCACTGCGCTTGGCCTGACACATAAAATTAACCATCACAGAGTCATCAATGTGGTAACCAATCTCTCTTTTTTTTTTTTTTTCTTTTTTGAGATGGAGTCCCGCTCTGTCACTCAGGCTGGAGTGTAGTGATATGATCTCAGCTCACTGCAGCCTCTGCCTCCCAGGTTCAAGCGATTCTCCTGCCTCAGCCTCCTGAGTAGCTGGGATTACAGGCACACACCATTACCCTGGTTAATTTTTTGTATTTTCAGTAGAGACAGGGTTTCACCATGTTGGCCAGACTGGTCTCGAACTCCTGACCTCAGGTGATCCACCTGCCTCAGCCTCCCAAAGTGCTCGGATTACAGGTGTGAGCCACCGTGCCCGGCCTGGTAACCAATCTCTAAAGAGCACATGGTACCACCCAGAGAGAATGAGATAAAGGCCTAGAAGGCCAAAGGCATCAACAGAGGAAAAGGTCAAGACAGGAAAGGAGTGAGGGTTTATAGAACAGACTGAAATTATAGAAGGAAGGGAGCCTGGATACAGGGGTGTCATGGAAACCAGGGAAAAGCAGTGGATCAAACAGTGTGGTCAAGTATGTCACAGACTGCAGAAAGCTCAAGTAAGAGGAGCACTGAATAATATCCATTAAATTTGAAGCCTTTATATCTTTTTTCCCAAGAAGCAACAGTCTCATGGCTGGTGTACAACTGCTTCAGAAAATAGTTTAGCATTAGCAGGGAAGCTGAACAGGTGCAGACCTCAACATCCAGCAACTCCACTCTTACGAATATGTGGATGCTTGCTACTCAGACTGTGGTCCACAGACAGACAGCATCAGCATCAGCAGGAACTTGTAGAAATGCAGAATCTGGCCAGGCACGGTGGCTCAACGCCTGTAATCCCAGCACTTTGGGAGACTGCAGTGGGCGGATCGCTTGAGCCCAGGTGTTAGAGACCAGCCTTGGCAACGTAGTGACCCGGTCTCAAATTGGAAAAAAAAAAAAAAAAAAAGGGCCAGACATGGTGGCTCATGCCTGTAATCTCAGCACTTTGGGAGGCTGAGGCGGGCAAATCACCTGAGGTCAGGAGTGCGAGACCAGCTTGGCCAACATGGTGAAACCCCATTTCTACTAAAAATACAAAAATTAGCCAGGCGTGGTGGCATGTGCCTGTAGTCCCAGCTACTTGGGAGGCTGAGGCAGGAGAATTGCTTGAACCCGGGAGGCGGAGGCTGCAGTGTGCCACTGCACTCCAGCCTGGGCAACAGAGCGAGACTCTGTCTCAAAAAAAAAAGAGAGAGAAAAAAAAAAAAAGAAAGAAACACAGAATCTCAGGCCCCACCCAGACCTACTGACTCAGACTCCGAATTAAAACTCCAGATGACTCATGTGCATGCTGATTTCAAGAAGCATGTAATCTTCAAACCCTTTTGCTCACATTAAAAGAATTTTGCAAATTATGTACCCCTTGCATGTTTTTATGCTGCTATCTAAAACTTTCCCCAAATGTTTAGTTGCAAAAGAATGCCATTCCAGTGTGTTGTAAACATGGATCTTTTTTAAAAAGTCTTATTTCACTTTTTAACCATTCCCTTCATGATTCATTTTATTTTTTTTTTTATGTATTTATTTGTTTATTTTTTGAGACAAGAGTCTCCCTCTGTCTCCTAGGCTGGAGTGCAGTGGCGCCATCTCGGCTCACTGCAACCTCCGCCTCCCAGGTTCCAGCAATTCTCCTGCCTCCACCTCTCGAGTAGCTGGGACTACAGGTGCCTGCCACCACGTCTGGCTAATTTTCGTATTTTTAGTAGAGACGGGGTTTCACCTTGTTGCTCAGGCTGGTCTCGAACTCCTGACTTCAGGTGATCCACCCGCTTTGGTCTCCCAAAGTGCTGGGATTACAGGCATGAGCCACCACACCCAGCCCAATTCATTTTATTTATTTATTTTTTATTTTATTTTTAAGATGGAAGCTTGCTCTGTCACCCAGGCTGGAGTGCAGTGGCACGATCTCGGCTCACTGCAACCTCTGCCTCCCGGGTTCAAGAGATTATCCTGCCTCAGCCTCCCGAGTAGCTGGGATTACAGGCATGCGCCACCACGCCTGGCTAATTTTTGTATTTTTAGTAGAGATGGGGTTTCATCATGTTGGCCAGGCTGGTCTTGAACTCCTGACCTCAAGTGATTCATCTGCCTCAGCCTCCCAAAGTGCTGGGATTACAGGCGTGGGCCACCGTGCTGGGCTCATGATTCATTTTTAAAGTACATGATTATAATCTTCTTTAACAGTCAGAAATTTCACATTGTTCTATTTCTTCTGAATTCTTATTTTCATAGTTCTATTTCTACCCCCAAGACATTATCCTAATGTAATACATTTTGTGCTTGAAAGCCTTCTAAGCCTGAGCAACATGGCAAAACCCTGTCTCTACAACAAATAACAAAAATTAGCTGGGTGTGGTGGCGTGTGCCTGTAGTCCTAGCTACTCTGGAGGCTGAGGTGGGAGGATCACCTGTTCCTGGGGAGGTCAAGCCTGCAGTGAGTCATGATTGTGCATTCCAGCCTGGGCAACAGAGTGAGACCTTGTCAAAAAAAAAAAAATGAGCAAAGGACTTGAATAGATATTTCTCCAGAGAAGACACACAAATGGCCAACAAGGACATGAAAAGATGCTCAACATCATTAGTCATTAAGTAAATGAAAATAAAACTATAATGAGTACAACTTCATATCAACTAGAATGTCTATTTAAAAAAAAAAACAAGCCAGGCGCGGTGGCTCACGTCTGTAATCCCAGCACTTTGGGAGGCTGAGGTGGGCGGATCACAAGGTCAGGAGTTCGAGACCAGCCTGGCCAATATGGTGAAACCCCATCTCTACTATAAATACAAAAATTAGCCAGGCGTGGTGGCGCGTGACTGTAGTCCCAGCTACTCAGGAGGCTGAGGCAGGAGAATCCCTTGAACCCGGGAGGCAGAGGTTGCAGTGAGCCAAGATCGCACCACTGTACTCTAGCCGGGGCAACAGAGTGAGACGCTGTCTCAAAAAAAAACAAAAAACAAAAAAAAACAGAAAATAACAACTGTTGGCAAGGATATGGAGAAATTGAAGCTTGTGTACAATCTCCTGGTGGGAACATAAAATGGTGCAGCTGCTGTGGAAAACAGTTTGGCAGTTCCTCAAAAGGTTTAACATATAGGGTGGGCACAGTGGCTCACGCCTGTGATCCCAGGCTGAGAGGAATTTGGGAAGCTAAGGCTGGAGGATCGCTTGAGCCTAGCAGTTCGAGACCAGCCTGGGAAACACAGCAAGACTTCATCTCTACAAAAAAAAAAAAAGAGGTGGGCGGGGGAGCAAATGCCATGGCTCACGCCTATAATCTCAACAATTTGGGAGGCCAAGGCAGGCGGATCCCTTGAGCTCAGGAGTTCCAGACCAGCCTGAGCAACATGGTGAAACCCTGTTTCTACAAAAATGCAAAAATTAGCCAGGCATGGTGGTGCATACCTGTAGTCCTAGCTACTCGGGAGGCTAAGGCGGGAGGCTAAGCCTGGGAGGTGGAGGTTGCAGTGAGCCAAGATCACACCACTGCATTCCAGTCTGGTCAACAGAGATCCTGTCTAAAAAAAAATAATAATAATAATACGTTAAAAATTTAACATATAATTGCCATATAATCCAACAGTTCCACTCCTAGGTATATATCCAAAAGAACTGTAAATAGGTATACAAACAAATTCTAGTATAAGCATCCAATTAAAAGACAATGAATGAATTACAGCTACACAAGTCAACAAAACCATAATGTTGAGTGAAAAGGCCAGCCCCAGAACATGTACAGTATGATTCATCTGTGTGATGGTCAAACAGACAAAACTAAACTGTCCGGGAAAACCTACAACTGCATAGATACTGAAACTATTACAATAAGCAAATGAAGTATACACGGTCATACCTCAGAGATATTTTGGGCTTCGTTCCAGATCCCCTCAATAAAGCCAGTCATATCAACAACTTTTTGGTTTCCCAGTGCACACAAGTTATGTTTACACTGTACTGTAGTCTATTCAGGGTGCAATAGCATACGTCTAAAAACAATGTATGTAACCTTAATTTTAAAATACTGTATTGCTAAAAAATGCTAACAGTCATCTGAGTCTTTAGTGAGTTGTAACATTTTTGCTGGTGGAGGATTTTATCTTGATATCGATAGCTGCTGACTGATTAGGGTGGTGGTTGCTGAAGGTTGGGATGGCTTTGACAATTTCTTTTTTTCTTTTTTTTTTTTTTGAGATGAAGTCTCATGCTGTCACCCAGGCTGGAGTGGAGTGGTGCAATCTCGGCTCATTACAACCTCCATCTCCTGGGTTCAAGCAATTCTCCTGCCTCAGCCTCCCAAGTGGCTGGGACTACAGGCACCCCCACCACACCCAGCTAATTTTTGTGTTTTTAGTAGAGATTGGGTTTCACCATGTTGGCCCAGGCTGGCCTCGAACTCCTGACCTCAGGTGATCCGCCCACCTCAGCCTCCCAAAGTGCTGGGATTACAGGAGTGAGTCACCCCACCCAGCCAACAATTTCTTAAAATAAGACAACAATGAAATTTGCTGTATCTACTGACTCTAACTTTTATAAAAAGATTTATCTGGGCCGAGCACGGTGGCTCATGCCTGTAGACTCAACACTTTGGGAGGCCAAGGCAGGAGTATCACTTGAACCCAAGAATTCAAGATCAATGACTGGGCAACACGGGAAGACCCAGTCTTGCCACTTTTAATTAAAAAAAAAAAAAAAATGGCCGGGTGCTGCGGCTCATGCCTGTAATCCCAGCACTTTGGGAGGCTGAGGTGGGCGGATCATGAGGTCAGGAGTTCAAGACCAGCCTGGCCAACATGGTGAAACCCCATCTCTACTAAAAATACAAAACATTAGCTGGGCGTGGTGGCAGACGTCCGTAATCCTAGCTACTCAGGAGGCTGAGGCAGGAGAATTGCTTGAACCTGGGAAGCAGAGGTTGCAGTGAGCTGAGATTGTACCATTGCACTCCAGCCTGGGCAACAAGGGCGAAACTCCATCTCAAAAAAAAAAAAAAAAAAAAAAGCCAGAAGTGGTAGCGCACGCCTGTAGTCCCAGCTACTCCAGAGGCTGAGGCAGGAGAATCACTTGAACCTGGTAGGTGGAGGTTGCAGTAAGCCGAGATTGTGCCACTGCACCCCAGCCTGGCGACAGAGCAAGACTCTGTCTAAAAAATAAATAAATAAATTAGTCCAGGAAGGTCGAGGCTGCAGTGAGCCTTCTTTGCACCACTGTACTCCAGCCTGAGCAAAAGAAACCACTTTTTTTTTTTTTTTTTTTTTTTTTGACAGGGTCTTGCGCCATCACCCAAGCTGGAGTGCAGCAGTGCGAACAAGGCTCACTGCAGCCTTCTCCTCCCTGGGCTGAATCAATCCTCCCACTTCAGCCTGTTGAATAGCTGCGACCACAGGCAACACCACCTCCCACAGCTATTTTTTTTTTTTCTGAGACTGGGTTTTGCCTTGTTGCCCAGGCTGGTTTCAAGTGATCCTCTTCCCTTGGCTTCCCAAAAGTGCTGAGTTTACAGGCGTAAGCCACCACACCCAGCCTTGTACCCTCTTATATTTTTTAAATTTTGAACAAAACTTTACAATTTGAATTTGGAATTGTACTTACACATTTTGAATTTTGAACAAAACTACATTTTGAATTTTGAACTTTGAATTTTGAGTTTGTAAACAAAATTTTACAAACTCTAATGCTTTTATTTTGCTTTTTTTTTTTTTTAAGACAGAGTTTCACTCTTGTCACCCAGGCTGGAGTGCAGTGGCGTGATCTCAACTCACTGCAACCTCTGCCTCCCAGGTTCAAGCAATTCTCCTGCGTCAGCCTCCTGAGTAGCTGGGATTACAGGCATGCACCACCACGCCCAGCTAATTTTTTTTGCATTTTCAGTAGAAACGAGGTTTCACCATGTTGGCCAGGCTGTTCTCAAACTTCTGACCTCAAATGATCCGGCCACCTCAGCCTCCCAAAGTGCTGCGATTACAGGTGTGAGCCACTGCACCCGGCCCTACAAACTCTAATTCTTAACTTGACAGCTTTTTGTATTTCTGCTCTCACGAATGACTCCATGAAAAAAATAAAATGAACAATTTTTTTTTTAAACTTGGGATATGGATTAGGTCATTTGCAGGGACACAGGCAGGCCTGGGGAGGACAACCTGATCCAGGCAGGTATCACAGGCCCGAAAGTCAGTTGCTCAAGCAGCAAGGATGACATAGGGTAGCAGAGCAGACTTGGTGAGGCTCAGAGGATAGAATATTTGTCGAGAAGTGGAAGAGTCTTTTTCTGTCTGGAATTCACAAGGTGCTGGGAGAATCTGCCTCCATTTCCCCAGATAGACCTGGATCTGGGCAGAGTCAGCAAGGGTGTGTGGAGGACTTGGACGATGGCAAAGGTGGTGGGCTGCAGGGAGTAAATTCCCTCCGAGGTAGGAGGGGGAGGGAAGAGTTTGTCTGGAGGCAGGTTGAGGCTGGGAGAGGGCTCCGAAGAGCTAGGGATAAGGAGCTCTGAAGAAGGAGGAGGA
This sequence comes from Homo sapiens, assembly GCF_000001405.40. Lineage (NCBI taxonomy): Eukaryota > Metazoa > Chordata > Mammalia > Primates > Hominidae > Homo > Homo sapiens. The sequence continues at coordinate 3,154,111 of NT_167245.2, read as the reverse complement.
GCCAGCATTGAGGAGCAGTCAAGGGGGATGGATGGGAGTTCAGAAAAGGTGGTTTTGCAGATGGATGGGAGTGGTGCAGGCACTTTGTTTTCACATGGCTTCTTTCCCCAAGCAGTAAGCCCCTTCCAACATTGCCAAAACATCCTGCAGTTTTTACCAGGGTTCCTGCGCTGAGGGCAGAGCTGAGTGCAGATCAAAGGAGAAAGAGAAAGAAGTTGGAGGTTTTGTTGTAATGTAAGACAGTTTCATCAGCCTATGGATTTAAAAGTCCAGGCTGACTTACCTCTTCCTTTCCTATAGATTGCTCAGGAAATATGGTTATTCTAGTACGTGCTAAGCATCGTTGTAAAAAGTAAGCCCACAGCCTAAAATACTTTGAATGTCTTAGACAAATGTCCAATGTTTGCTACGGTTTTGGATTATCAAGGCCACTCCTTACCTCTATGAGTAGCCAAGGGTAGTGCTCTAAGCTGTGAGCTAGCTTCTCTCAGAGATGCCCACAAACATAAACACCCCTTTTCAAAGTAAGCTGCTATGGACTCATAGGACTGGAAAATACTTCAGAGAGTAATCCCTCCATTTTATTAAAGAGAATACTGAAACCTGGGGAGCCTTGATGACTTCAAGATGGACTGGAACCTGGACCTTTTGTCTCCTAGTTATTCCTTGCATCCCTAGTCAAATTTTATTTCCTTTAAAAAATGTATTTACTTTTATTTATTATTTTATTATTTTTGAGACAGGTGTCTCGCTTTGTTGCCCAGGCTGGTCTCAAACTCCCGGCCTTAAGTGATCCTCCCACCTCAGCTTCCCAAAGTGCTGGGATTACAGGCATAAGCCACAGTGCCCAGCCCAGATTTTATTTCTAAAGCTCACTAAGAATCCTAATTTTTTTTTTAAAAGACAGGGTCTCATTCTGTTGCCCAGGCTGGAGTACAGTGGCACTATCATGGTTCACTGCAGCCTCAACTGCCTGGGCTTAAGCAGTCCTCCCACCTCAGCCTCTCATGTAACTGGGATCCCAAGCACATACACACCATCATGCCCTGCTAATTTTCTTATTATTTGTAGAGATGGGGTCTTGCTATGTTGCCCAGACTGGTCTCAAACTGCTGGGCTCAAGGGATCCTCCTGCCTCGGCCTCCCAAAGTGCTGGGATTACAGGAATGAACCATTGAGCCTGACCCAAAAATCCTAAAAGTATCTCCTAAATTTATCTGTTCTTGACACCACACCAAGGCATTTGGTACTGCAAGCTAAGGACAGGAAAGCCCCTGGTTTTATACTGGCAGAAGTTGGGGAAGAAGGGACAAGGATCTAGATGATTGTAAACCCCCTGGATGGGATGCATGGGAAATGGCTCCACATCATCTCTCCACCAGACTACATGGAAAAGAGTTTGTGCACCTCTGCTTGTTTTTACGCAGAGTTGTAACTGGGTGGGCTGGACACTTGAAGGATTCATTGGCTGTCAACTCCACCTGCCACCAAGGACTACCTGTCTTGAGCCATGGGCTGAGTTAGGCCCCCTGTCCCATCTACATTCCTAGAAAGGAAAAGTAGCAAGAAAGGGACAAGAAACAAAATTTTACAAACTCTAATTCTTAACTTGACAGCTTTTTGTATTTCTGCTCTCACTGGAATGTGAACTATTCTTCTGAGAAGTTTGGCAATGCGGAAAAGAAGAGATGAGATAGAAAAACAGAATTTTTAAAGTTCTTTTGGGTCAGGCGCAGTGGCTCACGCCTGTAATCCCAACACTTTGGGAGGCTGAGCAAGGTGGATCACCCGAGGTCAGGAGTTCGAGACCAGCCTGGCCAACATGGTGAAACCCCGTCTCTACTAAAAATGCGAAAATTAGCTAGGCATGGTGGCGGGCACCTGTAATCCCAGCTACTTGGGAGGTTGAGGCAGGAGAATCACTTGAACCTGGGAAGCGGAGGTTGCAGTGAGCCAAGATCGTGCTATTGCACTCCAGCCTGGGTGACAAGAGCAAAACTCCAGCTAAATAAATTAATTAATTAATTAAAATAAAATAAAATTCTTTTGAAAATTTCATAGTCCGTTTCCCAGATTAGGAAAAGGAGAACAGAGCTATTGTTTACTCAGCAACTACTGCATGCCAGGCTCATTTAAACCTCACATTAGCCCTGTGAGAGATCAGGGCCTTCAAGATAAAAATGCTTTCAGATGAGCTAAGGATGGGCGGGGGAGACAAAGATAAGGACACTGTGATTCAGAGAATTAAGTAACTTGCCCAGTGGGCCTCATTTGGTACAGGAATAGGGCTTTTATTTTATTTTTTTAATGATTTGCGAATCTGGCAGCCTTCTGAGCCAGAGTAGGCTCAGAAACTCCTAGGAATGTGGCTTTAAGCCTAGGTGCGTCTGACACAAAATCAGGTGTTCTTCCTCAAATCTACAAGGCCTAAATACAAAGAGAGCAGTTTAGAACAGACTCTTAGATTCAACAGAGGGAACTGGGTGCGGGCATACAAATCAGAGAATTTAAAAGAAAAAGGCAAAAAGTCAAGGTACCACCTAAACACTGTCTACGCTGCCTCCACCCTCCTGCCAAACAGCATCCCTTGAGTTCAAGAATTCAGTTTCAGCTCAAGAACAAACTTTTTATGGGTGGATGCTGGCTGAGCCAAAGAGGAATTACTTCAACAATCATTTGTTGCATGACCTTTTTTGGTGTTTTGTTTTGAGAAGGAGTCTTGCTCTGTCGCCCAGGCTGGAGTGCAATGGCGCAATCTAGGCTCACTGCAACCTTCACCTCCCAGGTTCAAGCGATTCTCCTGCCTCAGCCTCCCCAGTAGCTGGGATTACAGGCACCTGCCACCACGTCCAGCTAATTTTTGTATATTTAGTAGAGTCAGGGTTTCACCATGTTGGCCAGGCTGGTCTCGAACTCCTGACCTCAGGTGATCCACCTGCCTCGGCCTCCCACAGTGCTGGGATTACAGGCGTGAGCCACCACACCCTCCCTATTGCATGATTTTTATTTGCAAAACAAAACCCACAACATAATTCCTGCAACCAAGAAGTTTATAGTCTAATGGGGAAACCAGATATTGAACACATAATAAGAAACTTCATCAGAATTGAAATGTAAGGAAAACGCACTAGTCTCCTGAAGGACGTAAAAAAGAAATCCAATTGGCAGGAAACAGTGGCATCTTCACGCGGACTTGGATAGGTGGGGAAGTGGGTGTAGGTACGAGGAAGTGGAAGGGAAGGCACCAGCCTTCAAGACGCTCCTAAGTGCTGTCGCTGAAGCTGTGGAGACTATAACTTAGTCTGAGAGAGACAAGAGAAAGAGAAGGCCCGGGCGCAGTGTTGAAGGGAAGTTTTGTTTAGAGCTGGACCTTGTCAGTCTGGAGGAGAGGTGAGGAATAAGGGGGACGGAGCGGTGGAAGATTAGAGTAGAATCATACTAACATAATAAATCACATCATTAAAATTAGTCCTAGGGTTAATTATATACTAAAGGTGAAATGGGCAAGGTCATCGATAGCACAAGCGGAGGGCGACTGCCTTGGCAAGAAGTTGGGATCAATCCTGAGAATGGAGGGGAGGGCGGGTGTGATTTTAAAGGACTGACATGGAGTGGAGGAAAGTTGAGGGCACTGGATCGTCTGGCTTTGTGGAAAGTGAAATCATATTTCAGGCCTGAAGGGCTGAGGCGGTTACTAGCTTTACAAGAGTTGGAAAAGCCTGGGAATGTGTCTGGAGCAACTGTGAGCACACTCAGCAGAGGAGGCAGGCGTGGGTAATAGCTACCAACAGCTCTGTTAGCCACGGGGCGGATGGGGCCCTGAGAGGTGCCACGGATGCACCCAGGGCAGCGCTCGGCACAGCTGGACCGGAGACGCACCACCCCTGGGAGCAGGTGGCAGCGCCCGCAGCCGAGAGAACGGGTGCGCGCGCGCGCTGCGGGATGCGGCGCGGGCGGGGCGCGGGGACGCGGAGCGAGTAGCGCCATGGGCAGCCGGGATTGGGGGGCGGGCCCGAGTGAGCGGGCCTCCGCGCGGCACTTGGCACGCACGCGCAAACTGGCCGCGGGGCTTGGAGGTACAGAGGAGGGGGAGCGAGAAAGAGGGGGGTGTGGAACGTATTTCCGCTCTGGCGGACAAATAATCCCGGCCAAAGAGGAGGCAAGGCCGTCCGGCCCTTTAACCGCGTGGGGGTGCTGGTGAAGAAAGGGGGGTCGGGAAGGGGGGATCCTGCTCCTTTAATTCCCTCCCCTCTTCCTCCTCCCCGAGTCCTAGCCGACGCCGCCGCCGCCGCGCGCGCGGGGCCTGGAACACACGGCACGAGCCGCCCCCGCCCCTCCCCCCTTACGCCCACGCGGAGCCGGCCCCGCGCGCGCGCGCGTCCCGTGCATCCCCGCGCCTGCGCGCTGCCCAGGCCCTGCCCGTGTGTGGGGGTCGCTGCCGGCCCCGGGGGGGGGTGGGGAAAATAAGGGATTAAAAAAACAGCGCGCGGAACCGGGCCAGGTGAGAGGAGCGTGCACTCAGGGTCGTGGGGCTGGGGGGGCGTGCCACGGAGCTCTGAGCGTGGGGGCAGGGCGTGCACGGTGCGTGCTGGCGGCGGGGGGGAGGACGTGAAAAGCGCGTGCAAACGTGTAAGGGGGGGGCGGAGGAATGAGGCAGCCGGTAAAGGGGGCGGGGTGAGAAGAGCCTGCAACCGGGGCCACCTTGGAGTCCAGAGCCCCAGGCCTCTGGCCCCCCTTTTTCTCCGTCCTTCCACCGTGGGCGCGCGGGCTCGCCCCATCCTAGCGGGCTGCTGGGCTGGGGGGTGTGGACGCCGCTGCCCCGCCCCCGAGAACCACGCCTCCCTCCTCTCAGAGGGACAGCACCTCCCCAGGGTTGGGGAAACTGAGGAAGAAATCTGAAGACCGGGAGATCGGATGCCGGGGGGCTGGGCAAGAATGGGGGCGAGGGTCCTGGAGCCTTGGCTTCGGAGAGCCAGAGACCTTTGTCTCTGACCGGTTTCCTTCCCAACCAGGGTTGCCCACCCCCGCCACAATGGCCTCTGGGGTGGAAGTCCTGCGCTTCCAGCTGCCCGGCCACGAGGCCGCAACGCTACGGAACATGAACCAGCTCCGGGCAGAGGAGCGGTTCTGCGACGTGACCATTGTGGCCGACAGCCTCAAGTTTCGAGGCCACAAGGTCATCTTGGCCGCCTGCTCACCCTTCCTGCGGGACCAGTTCCTGCTGAACCCCAGCTCGGAGCTGCAGGTCTCCCTGATGCACAGTGCACGCATCGTGGCCGACTTGCTCCTCTCCTGCTACACGGGCGCCTTGGAATTCGCTGTTAGGGACATCGTCAACTACCTTACAGCCGCCTCCTACCTGCAGATGGAGCACGTGGTGGAGAAATGCCGGAATGCCCTCAGCCAGTTCATTGAGCCCAAAATAGGCCTCAAAGAGGATGGGGTCAGTGAGGCTAGCCTTGTGAGCAGCATCAGCGCCACCAAGTCCCTCCTCCCTCCAGCCAGGACCCCAAAGCCAGCCCCGAAGCCCCCACCCCCACCTCCTCTACCCCCTCCACTCCTGCGGCCAGTGAAGCTGGAGTTCCCACTGGATGAAGACTTGGAGCTGAAAGCCGAGGAAGAGGATGAGGATGAGGATGAGGACGTGTCTGACATCTGCATCGTCAAGGTGGAGTCGGCCCTGGAGGTGGCACACCGGCTCAAACCCCCTGGAGGCCTGGGAGGGGGTCTGGGCATTGGAGGCTCCGTGGGTGGCCACCTTGGGGAGCTGGCCCAGAGCAGCGTTCCCCCCAGCACTGTAGCCCCACCGCAGGGTGTGGTGAAGGCCTGCTATAGCCTGTCGGAAGATGCAGAAGGGGAGGGCCTGCTGTTGATTCCCGGAGGCCGGGCCAGCGTGGGGGCCACCTCGGGCCTGGTGGAAGCAGCAGCGGTGGCCATGGCTGCCCGGGGGGCGGGGGGCAGCCTGGGGGCGGGGGGCAGCCGGGGACCCCTGCCTGGGGGCTTCTCAGGTGGAAACCCCTTAAAGAACATCAAGTGCACCAAGTGCCCGGAAGTGTTCCAGGGCGTGGAGAAGCTGGTCTTCCACATGCGGGCGCAGCACTTCATCTTCATGTGCCCTCGCTGTGGCAAGCAGTTCAACCACAGCAGCAACCTCAACCGCCACATGAACGTGCATCGTGGTGTCAAGTCACACTCGTGCGGCATCTGCGGCAAGTGCTTCACACAGAAGTCCACCCTTCACGACCACCTCAACCTGCACTCGGGAGCGCGGCCCTACCGCTGCTCCTACTGCGACGTGCGCTTCGCCCACAAGCCTGCCATTAGGCGGCACCTCAAGGAGCAACACGGCAAGACCACGGCCGAGAACGTGCTGGAGGCCAGTGTGGCCGAGATTAACGTCCTCATCCGCTAGCCGCGCAGGCGTGGAGGCCAGGAGGCTGGGGCCCCTGGGCTGCGTGGAAAAAGGGCTCTTTGGCCCAGGAGAATTGGGGGGTGGGGGGTCTGGGGCAGAAAGGTAAGAGTGGGAGGCTGAGCAGATGCACACATCCTGAGAGAGGGAAGATGATTCCTTGGAGAGACTTGCTCTTGAGAGTGCAAGAATCTGGAGCTGGGAAAAGGGTTCTTGGAGGCCAGGGGAATACGGGGTCCCAGAGAAAGATTTCCTTCTCTTAGAAGTGCATGTATATGTGGAGGGAGGGAAAAGGGTCCTATAGAATGAGGGAAGACAAAAATGTTTTATTCCTGGCTAAGGCTGCCCAGGGGAAGGTTCTGACATTTCTCGAGATAAGAAGGGTTGGGGGGTGGGTGGGAACAGGGAGGGAATTTGGCAGGAGGACATGCTCCTGCTTAGAATAGACCTGGGGTGAGGGAGTGGTAAGGGGAAAAGATTACTGAGTCCCAGAAAAGGAAGTGGGAGACAGTTCTTGCATGCTGGGGAAATGAGACTGCGAGTATGAGGCTTGCTGAAATTTGAGGGAGAACAAAGTAAGACGCCAGGTAAGAGAACGTGGGGTGCGCATCCTGGGTAGATATTGGGAAGTGGGGGTACAATAGCAAGAAACAATGGATAGTCATGGGGGTGGGGGGGATAGGGCACTTAGAAAAGAAAGAACACAAGAAGGGCTGTTGGGAGGGAGGGAGAGGAGTAGAGACATACAGTATTTTTTAAGAAAAAACATATTTTTTAGGATTTTTTCTGGAGTTTGGGGTTTTAGTTTTTCTGCTTTTGTTTTCCACAAAATAAAAAACAAAAAAAAACTTTTTTTTTTCCTTTACACTCTGGCAACTGCGTGTACATGACTATCCTGCCCTAGACAGCCTCTCCCTGTGATGCTGCGTTCTTAATACCTAGAGGTCACAACTCTGCATATCCCTTGCCTGAAGGAGCCCAGCCCTAAACATGGGAGAGGAGTGTGACAAGTGAGCTCCTCTGGTCAGGGACTCCCCCAAGTCCCCACCCCCAGCCCTCCACCAGTTCTGCAATCTCAACACTTAGCCAGGTACCTCACAGTACAAGTGATTGGCAGTCGTGGGGATGCACATGAACTCTATTTGAGGGACTTAGGATCAGTGCTAGGGATGAGCTACAGGTGGCCAACCTGCCCACGGAAATTGTAAGCAGGAGTCTGTTTGGTCATATTTTGTCTGGGGTAAATAGGTCATGTCTTCAGGAAAGCTAAAAAAAAAAAAAAAAAGCTAAGTTTGGATTAAGGTGCAGGGAAAACTACAATTCCCAGAAAGCTCTGGAATAGTTAACCAAAGAGAACTACAGTTCCCAGAAGGCCTTTAATTGGCCTCAGGTGCCCCACCTGCCTGTGTCAAATACTGCGTGTGAAATCATACAGATCTTTTCCAAACTCGACCAAAACGTAATACCTAAAGGGATGGTACCCTAAATACAGCTATCGAGATTGTCTATCTTGGTGTATATCATTTATACTTAAATTGTCCGCTGGGCTATGACCCACGGAGTACCTGACTGTGCTTATGAAGTGTTCGGCAAAAAAGGTTTACTTACTGCAGTGTCACCAGTCAGTAATGACGTTCGGGCCGCTGGGCTTACCTGGATCCCTAGTGCGTGTGAAGGTGTAACACGCCTGATATAAACAGAAGAGACATTTAGCCACAGGTTTTCAGAAGGGCACGCTGCTCCAGGGGACATGAAGCAGCATGCTAGAACCAGCCAAGAATAAAGGTGTCCTCCGCGTCCCTATCGCCCCTTCGTGCTCGTTAGAAAGAGCAAAAAGGCGAGGCCAAAACTGAGGCCAAGCCTTCTATCTGGTAACCCAAAAACTAGAAAGGCAGAAAAGCAACCAGAGGCGGGAAAAGCCCAACCAGGCCAGAGGAAATACAGCCGCTGCCGAGAGCCGAGAAGTTCAGAAGCTCCGCTTGTTACCTAAAACCAGATGGGGACAGAGACGCCACACCTGGGCCCAGGCGTGTCTCGCCCTCGGTCCCTGCAGAACTGAGGCCAGGAATGACAGGAATTCTCCCTTGCAGCTCCCAGCTTAGGACAGTCACAGCCATCTCCGAGGCCGCTCTCAGGGGAAAATGGCCAAAAAGCATGTAGCGGCTCCTTTAAGGCTCCTCCTCGCCCTCCCTCCCTCGCCCACGTGACCCGGGGCGGCCGCGCGCCGGCTCGGCCCCCAGCGCAAGCGGCGATGGCGGCGGCGGCGGGAGCTGCAGCGGCGGCGGCCGCCGAGGTGCGGAAGGGGAGGGGGAGAGGCGGGTGCATGCCCGCGCGCGCGCCCGGGGGAAGCGCGCGCCCGTGCAATGCTCCGGGGGTGCAACGGGGCCGGGGGGCCCGGGCGGGACTTGCAGCAATCCAGGGGGCCAGCACCGGGGGCGGATGAGGGGACCAGGGTGTGGGAGGTGGGGGGAGTGGGCACGGAGGCGCGCGTGCAGCCGCCGGCTGCCCCTGAGTGGGCGACGGGCGCCGGGGCCCCAGGAGCACGCGTGAGGGGCACGAGGGGCCGTCCACCGGGCTGGGGGGCAGCGGGTGCTGGAGGGGTTGGTGCCCGGGGTCCCCGCGGCCTGGGGGACAAAGGGGGAGCGGCGCGTGCAGCCGGGAGGAGGGGGCGGGGCCGGGGCGCGGAGGCCCCGCCCCCTCCCCCTCCTCTTCTCTCGGCCCCAGAGATGCGGGGTCTACCGAGAGGGAGGGGGTTGATGCGGGCCCGGGGGAGGGGTCGTGCGGCCCCTCCGGGCAGCCGAGGCCGCGGAAGGGGGGGGCCCCACAGAGGAAGAGGTAGGCCCCGGAGCCTACTCTCTCTTCCCAGGGCCCAGGCATCCTGGACCCCCCAACTCTCTACTGGGCTGACCAGCCCTCCTGTCCCTTGTCTCCCCTCCCAGGGGGAGGCCCCCGCTGAGATGGGGGCGCTGCTGCTGGAGAAGGAAACCAGAGGAGCCACCGAGAGAGGTGAGTGCAGCTAAAACGGGCCCCAATTGGACCGTCACCTTCCCTAAACACAGGATCTCCTGAGCCCTTAGCTCTGAACTTTTTCTCTTCCTCTACAGTTCATGGCTCTTTGGGGGACACCCCTCGTAGTGAAGAAACCCTGCCCAAGGCCACCCCCGACTCCCTGGAGCCTGCTGGCCCCTCATCTCCAGCCTCTGTCACTGTCACTGTTGGTGATGAGGGGGCTGACACCCCTGTAGGGGCTACACCACTCATTGGGGATGAATCTGAGAATCTTGAGGGAGATGGGGACCTCCGTGGGGGCCGGATCCTGCTGGGTGAGAGGCTGGGTAGCCTGGGGGGTTGGTGGGAAATTTCTGACTCTTGCCTTCTTTCTTATCTTGCCTTTTGCTTGCCTGTTTTCTAGGCCATGCCACAAAGTCATTCCCCTCTTCCCCCAGCAAGGGGGGTTCCTGTCCTAGCCGGGCCAAGATGTCAATGACAGGGGCGGGAAAATCACCTCCATCTGTCCAGAGTTTGGCTATGAGGCTACTGAGTATGCCAGGAGCCCAGGGAGCTGCAGCAGCAGGGTCTGAACCCCCTCCAGCCACCACGAGCCCAGAGGGACAGCCCAAGGTCCACCGAGCCCGCAAAACCATGTCCAAACCAGGAAATGGACAGGTGAGTGGGATGGGAGAGATGGGATAATCAACCATAAACCTTTGGTGAGCTCTTTTACAGTTTCACTTAAGGCTTCTACTCCATTTACTCATTCACATATTTAAGCAAGGGGCTGCTGTGTGTCAAATATTAGGCTGTGCTTGATCTGTGAACCAACAGACAGGTTCCTCTCTTCCTGCAGTTTACATTCTTGGGTGGTGAAAGTTTGATGTTAAAGAGTCAATTATATAGTTAATGTCTTAATTACTCTTATGATAATGACAAGGTAAGGGAATTTCAAACCACTCTTCCTTTCTACCTCAAAGCAAGCCCTTGGGGAACTCATCTGTCACTGCTCTATTTGTAAAGTTTTTCCTGGGAATCCCAGTGGGAAAGGAGATGAGGGCCACAGAAATAATAGAGGAGGGAAGTGACAAGGGCACCAGAAGCTTTATGACCAAGTTCTAGGGTTCTTGGGTCATACCTATTGTTGACCTAAAGGAAAAAACTGAGGCAAACTTAACATTAAGTAAAGTATATTTGGTCAGGTTTTGAGGACAGCCTTTAGGAGCAAAGATTCAAGTTGCCGTGAAAATACACTCTGATTAGCAGCAGTTATAAGTAGGGGTTTTTTTGTTTGTTTTGTTTTGTTTTTGAAGACAGTTTCACTATGTTGCCCAGGCTGGTCTCAAACTGCTGGGCTTCAGCAATCTTCCTGCCTTGACCTCGCAAAGTGCTGGGATTACAGGTGCAAGCCACCACAACCAGCCCACAAGTAGGTTTTTAAAGGAAAAGAAGATTGGATGACGTGAAGATATTGAAAAAAAACAGGCTGACTCTGGGCACACTGCGTAGGAGTTAGCCCTGCTCTGGAAGGAGCCGCAAAAAGAAAAAAAAAAAGATAAAAATTTTTTAAAAGATTGAAGAAATAACAAAGGAAAAGAAGAGGCAGTTCCTAAATTGTTTACCAGTTTACATTAGAATAACAAGCTATTGATCTGCTATACATTGTTCTTTGTCTCACAGATATTAGGCACATGAAGATAATGGGTGAAGCAGCACCCTAGTCAGGTACAAAATGCCTTTAAGCAGTTGCCTCCAGGCATGGGCCCTAACCGTTCCATGCTGACTTCTCGCTGAGCCTGATCAATTTTGCCTGCTTCACATAGCACAGGTTGCTATGAGCTACCTTTCCTTTCTCACTATGATAAACATTAATTTTTATAGTTGCAATTCATTTTGTAAAGAATAGGGAAGAAAAGGAAAATTGAATTTATAAATTAGGTACAGTGAGAGATTAACAACAATAATAACATAATAGCGTAATCCTAACAGTAGGCCAGGCGTGGCTTGCCTATAATCTCAACACTTTCAGAGGCCAAGGCCGGCAATCACTTGAGGTCAGGAGTTCGAGACCAGCCTGGTAAACATGTCCAAACCCCGTCTCTAACTAAAATAATAATAATAATAATAAATTAGCCAGGTGTGGTGGCGTGCGCCTGTAATCCCAGCTAGTCGAGAGGCTGAGGCAGGAGAATCACTTGCAGTGAGCCAAGATCGCGCCACTGCGGTTCAGCCTGGGCAACAGAGCGAGACTCAAAAAAAATAGCACAATTCTAACAATATGCCACCATCACTGCTGATGAACTGGATAAGAGGGGACTAGTGTCACGTAAAATTTACCATCTAAAAAACAATTTTAGGCCAGGCGCAGTGGCTCACGCCTGTAATCTCAGCACTTTGGAGGCCGAGGCGGGAGGATCACCTGAGGTCAGGAGTTTGAGACCAGCCTGGCCAACATAGTGAAACCCTGTCTCTACTAAAAATACAAAAATTAGGCCAGGCGGGGTGCCTCACGCATGTAATCCCAGCACTTTGGGAGGCCAAGGCAGGTGGATCACCTGAGGTCAGGAGTTCGAGACCAGCCGGACGAACATGGTGAAACCCCATCTCTATTAAAAATACAAAATTAGCCGGGCATGGTGGTACATGCCTGTAACAGTCCGCTACTTGGGAGGCTGAGGCAGGAGAATCGCTTGAATCCAGGAGGCAGAGGTTGTAGTTAGCCGAGATCCTGCCATTGCACTCCAGCCTGGACAACAAGAGCAAAACTCTGTCTCAAAAAAAAAAACAAAACAAAAATTAGCCGGGCGTGGTGGCATGTGCCTGTAGTTCCAGCTACTCAGGAGGCAGAGGTGAGAGAAACGCTTGAACCTGGGAGGTAGAGGCTGCAGTGAACTGAGATCGCGCCACTGCACTCCAGCTTGGGCAACAGAGTGAGACTCCATCTAAAAATTTAAAAATAAAATAAAAAACATTTTTAAGTATATAATTTAATGGTATTAAATACTTTCATCATGTGCAATCATCAGTCACCATAACTCATCTTGTAAAACTGAAACTCTGTACCCATTAAAACATAACTCTCCATTCCCTCCACCCCCTAGCCCCTGGCAAGGACCACTGTCCTTTCTTTCTCTATAAATTTGAGTAAGTACTTTATCTAAGTGTAATCATACAGTATTTATCCTTTTGTGACTGGCTTATTTCACTTAGCATAATGTCCTCAAGGTTCATCTATGTTGTACCATGTCAGAATTTCTTTCCTTTCACCTGGGCAGCATACCAAGACCCCATCTCTAAAAGAAGTTTAAAAGAATGTTTCAAAGGCCAGGCCCAGTGACTCACGCCTGTAATCCCGTACTTTCTGGGGAGGATCACTTGACACCAGGAGTTCAAGACCAGCCTGGGCAACATGGCAAGACCTCTTCTCTACCAAAAAAAAAAATTAAGAAGACATTAGTTAGGCATTGTGACATGTGCCTGTAATCCCAGCTTCCCAGGAAGCTGAGGGAGGAGAATGGCTTGAGTCCAGTTCGAGGCTGAAGTGAGCCATAGTCATGCCACTGCACTCCATCCTGGGTAACAGAATGAGACCTTATCTCTTAAAAAAAGTATATCTTTCCTTTTTATGGCTGAATGTTATTCCATTGTGTATAAATGCCACATTTTGCTTATCCATTCATCTGTCAGTGGCACTTGAGTTGCTTCCGCACCTCAGCTGTTGTAAACAGTCCTGCTGTGTATATGGCCACATATAAAAGGTCTTTTAACTTTATTAAGCTTTGTTTTCTCATCTGTAAAATGGAAAAGGGCCTGCTCTGCATGGTTGCAGAGATGAGTGAGTGTTAGTGTGCTTGACACTCTTCCTCTGAGGAAATAGCACCCGTGGTTGCCAGTTTGTGGCTACTGGAGCCTCACATGGCATTTGGAGGTGTGGCTCACTACCCCACCCCCGCCTGGGGCTCCAGGCTAACCCAGGCAAAACTGTAGGTGCTCTCTGACCCTCAGTGTGCTCCCTCTCGGCCCACAGCCCCCGGTCCCTGAGAAGCGGCCCCCTGAAATACAGCATTTCCGCATGAGTGATGATGTCCACTCACTGGGAAAGGTGACCTCAGGTCAGTCCCATCCCCCACCCCCGGTGGCTTGATGTGGTCTGTTCTGAAGGTTTCGGTGATAGGCCCCACACCATTCTCTCTCTTCTTCCAGATCTGGCCAAAAGGAGGAAGCTGAACTCAGGAGGTGGCCTGGTAAGCAGCAGAGGCAGAGCCTCTACCCCTCGGGGGCTGCTCTGAGGGAGGGTCAGAGGTGGGGCTGCATCCCATCCTCAGTAGAAATGCGCAGGGTGTCAGTGGCCTCAATTTTTCTGATCTTTTTCTAGTCAGAGGAGTTAGGTTCTGCCCGGCGTTCAGGAGAAGTGACCCTGACGAAAGGGGACCCCGGGTCCCTGGAGGAGTGGGAGACGGTGGTGGGTGATGACTTCAGTCTCTACTATGATTCCTACTCTGTGGATGAGCGCGTGGACTCCGACAGCAAGGTGAGACAGAGCTGGTCTGCCCTCCCCGCCGGTGCTCCCCCAGGGCTGGGGCTCACTGTCCAGTCCTCCTTGTTCCCTGTTTTTCTGCTTTCTGTCCTTTTTATCTTCTGAATATCCACTAAGTCATTGCCCCATGCTGTCTATAACTCCTTTTTTTTGTGGGGGGAGACGGAATCTCATTCTGTCGCCCAGGCTGGAGCGCAATATCACGATCTGGGCTCACTGCAACCTCTGTCTCCAGGGTTAAAGCAATTCTCCTGCCTCAGCCTCCCGAGTAGCTGGGATTACAGGCACCTGCCACCACGCCCGGCTAATTTTTGTATTTTTAGTAGAGACGGGGTTTCCCTGTGTTGGCCAGGCTGGTCTCTAACTCCTGACCTTAGTTGATCCACCCACCTTGGCCTCCCAAAGTGCTGGGATTACAGCTGTGAGCCACCGCGCCCAGCTGTAACTCATTTTCAATGTGTATTCTGCCCGTTTCATCCACAAAGGTGGCCACCACCCTGCACATGGGATTTAGTATTCTTTTTTTTTTAATCAGCTAATGAAATGACCATTTAACAGACATGTACTGTTTAAAAAAAGAAAACAAAAAAAGAAATGACCAGAAAGCACTTTTTTAAAACATACGTTATGCTGTTTATATAAAATTCAAAAGCATTGCATTGTCATTTATTTGCTTATTTCGTTGCTCTTTGTCTGGTTTTATCTTATATGTTTGCCTACACAGTAGAATGTTTAGTCTCTCTGATTTTGCCTTTTATTTAACATTTTATCATGAAAACTTGCAAGCATAATCAAAAGAGTAGAATAGGGAGCCCCCATGTACCCAATACACAGCTCCAGCCATTATCAGTACACAGTCCATCTTGACCCATCTGTACATCTCCCAGCACACACACCTACTAGGTTATTTTAAAGCAAATCCCAGACCTCATATCATTTTACCTAAACATATATCCATATAGATTTGTAAATATAAGGCCTCTTTTTGTCGTTCAACATCATTACACTACTGTTTTCACACCTAAAAAAACTTACCGATTTCTTAATACCATCAAATATCCTGTCAGTCTTCACATTTCCTCAGCTCTCACAAATGGTTTTTGTCAAGATCCAAATGAGGCCCACACCTTGATTTGATTAACATTTGTCTTAGGTCAGCCAGGCACAGTGGCTCACGCCTGTAATCCCAATACTTTGGGAGGCCAAGGCGGGCAGATCACGTGAGGTTGGGAGTTCGAGACCAGCCTGATCAACATGGAGAAACCCCGTCTCTACTGAAAAAAATACAAAATTAGCTGGACGTAGTGGTACGTGCCTGTAATTCCAGCTACTCGGGAGGCTGAGGCAGGAGAATCGCTTGAACCTGGGAGGTGGAGGTTGCAGTGAGCCAAGATCGTACCATTGCACTCCAGCCTCGGCAACAAGAGCGAAACTCCGTCTCAAAAAAAAAAAAATTTTTTTTTGTCTTAGGTCTCTCTCAGTATTTAGGTTTCCCCATCTTCTTTGTGTTTGTTTGTTTGTTTGTTTTTGTTTTTTGAGATGGAGTCTCACACTGTCACCCAGGCTGGAGTGCAGTGGCGTGATCTTGGCTCACTGCAAGCTCCACCTCCTGAGTTCAAGCAATTCTCCTGCCTCAGTCTCCCAAGTAGCTGGGATTACAGGCACCCACCACCATGCCCAGCTAATTTTTTGTATTTTTAGTAGAGGCAGGGTTTCACTATGTTGGCCAGGCTGGTCTCAAACTCCTGATCTCGTGATCTGCCCACCTCGGCCTCCCAAAGCGCTGGGATTACAGGCGTGAGCCACCACACCTGGCCTGATTTCCTCATCTTCTAAAAAAAAATTTTTTGGCCCAGGCGTGGTGGCTCACGCCTGTAATCCCAGCACTTTGGGAGGCAGGTGGATCACCTGAGGTCAGGAGTTTGAGACCAGCCTAGCCAACATGGTGAAAACACATCTCTAATAAAAATACGAAAATTAGCTGGGTGTGGTGGCGGGTGCCTATAATCCCAGCTACTCAGGAGGCTGAGGCAAGAGAATTGCTTGAATCCAGGAGGTGGAGGTTGCAGTGAGCTGAGATCACACCATTGCAATGCAGCCTGGGCAACAAGAGCAAAACTCAATAAATAAATAAGAAAGATTTTTTTTTTTTGCCATTTATTTGTCAAAGAAACCAGCTCAGTTGTCCTACAGAATTTTTCACATTTAGGAGTTGGCTGATTGGGTGGAGATTGACACATCCTCTCTGCCCATATTTCTTGTAAACTGATAGATCTAGAGGCGGAATCAGCTTCAGGTGCCAAGAAGACTTGACAGTGGGTGCAAGTGCTTCTGGCCACATCACATCAGGATGCATGGAACATCTAATCTGGTCATTTTTCTTGTTAGTGATAAGATTGACCAGTGGGTTCAGGTGATGTCAGCCTGAACCTTTCATATAAAGTTTCTCATGAGCTTTGTGTCTAGTGTTTTTAGCAACCATTGGTGGTCTTGCCTGTTTATGAACATCATAAAAGGGGTATCAAAGTATGTTTATCTTCTGGTACTTGCTTTTTGTTTTTTAACTTAATATCACATTACCAAGATCTGTGCACATTGCTGTCTGTAACTTTTTCACTGCTGTGTAATATTCCATGCACCCTCTCTTTATGTGGCCCTTTGTCTCCTCTGCTACCCACACTTATCCCCAGCAGCCATCCGTGGGTAGTGGCGGGGGGCAATGGTGGTGGTGGTTTTCTTTACTCACCTCATTGTCTGAGTCCTGGGGGTTGGATATGTCTGTTCTGCCTCTCTCCCAGTCTGAAGTTGAAGCTCTAACTGAACAACTAAGTGAAGAGGAGGAGGAGGAAGAGGAGGAAGAAGAAGAAGAGGAAGAGGAGGAGGAAGAGGAAGAAGAAGAGGAAGATGAGGAGTCAGGGAATCAGTCAGATAGGGTAAGAGACGGAGGCTGATATCTCCAGAGGAGTGGGAGACTATGGGGCTGGAGGTCTGGTCCTGAAGGTGTTGGGGGGGCCCCTGGGGGTGAGGGTTCCTAACTCCTCCTCCTCCCCCTTCCCAGAGTGGTTCCAGTGGCCGGCGCAAGGCCAAGAAGAAATGGCGAAAAGACAGCCCATGGGTGAAGCCGTCTCGGAAACGGCGCAAGCGGGAGCCTCCGCGGGCCAAGGAGCCACGAGGTGAGGAGGCTCTGCTGCTTTTGGGTGCCCTCCAGCCCCCGCCCGGCCCCCCAGAGTGTGTGCACGCACACACACGCTCTCGCATGTCCACCTGCATGTACCCACGCGTCCAGGCACCTGTGAGCTCGCACTCTCACTCTCTCTGTCTCTGTGTCAGGAGTGAATGGTGTGGGCTCCTCAGGCCCCAGTGAGTACATGGAGGTCCCTCTGGGGTCCCTGGAGCTGCCCAGCGAGGGGACCCTCTCCCCCAACCACGCTGGTAATTGCCAATTGCCGGGACAGGGAGCCACTAGGGGGCGACCTCAGGGCAGGAGGGAAAGGGAAGGAGGGGAACCACGCCAGAGCCGGGGTGTCCATGGCCAGGCTTTAGGGGTTCTGGGGCATGGCGGGGTGGGGTAGGGAGGGAGTGAGAGGACCCGCCAGGGGTCCCAGTAGGTGAGGTGCAGAGCCTCCCTCAGCTCCTCTTTTCCTCCATCCAAGGGGTGTCCAATGACACATCTTCGCTGGAGACAGAGCGAGGGTTTGAGGAGTTGCCCCTGTGCAGCTGCCGCATGGAGGCACCCAAGATTGACCGCATCAGCGAGAGGGCGGGGCACAAGTGCATGGCCACTGAGAGTGTGGACGGAGAGGTGGGGCCGTGGGCTGGTGGGAGAGGTGCCAGGGCGTCCAGTCCCCGGCCCCAGCCTCACGCTCTCTTCTCACCCATCCTCACTGCGCACAGCTGTCAGGCTGCAATGCCGCCATCCTCAAGCGGGAGACCATGAGGCCATCCAGCCGTGTGGCCCTGATGGTGCTCTGTGAGACCCACCGCGCCCGCATGGTCAAACACCACTGCTGCCCGGGCTGCGGCTACTTCTGCACGGCGGTGAGTGACCAGTGGGGCAGACAGGTAGCATGCCCTGTGGCAGAGGGGGCCCCAGTAACCTGACCATGTCGTTTCCCTGCTCCCAGGGCACCTTCCTGGAGTGCCACCCTGACTTCCGTGTGGCCCACCGCTTCCACAAGGCCTGTGTGTCTCAGCTGAATGGGATGGTCTTCTGTCCCCACTGTGGGGAGGATGCTTCTGAAGCTCAAGAGGTGACCATCCCCCGGGGTGACGGGGTGACCCCACCGGCCGGCACTGCAGCTCCTGCACCCCCACCCCTGTCCCAGGATGTCCCCGGGAGAGCAGACACTTCTCAGCCCAGGTACTGGCCTCCCCCTTCTGTACTGTCTGTTCCCTCCCCCACCCCTATTGCTCCTGGACATGAGCTCCTTCTTCCACAGTGCCCGGATGCGAGGGCATGGGGAACCCCGGCGCCCGCCCTGCGATCCCCTGGCTGACACCATTGACAGCTCAGGGCCCTCCCTGACCCTGCCCAATGGGGGCTGCCTTTCAGCCGTGGGGCTGCCACTGGGGCCAGGCCGGGAGGCCCTGGAAAAGGCCCTGGTCATCCAGGAGTCAGAGAGGTGAGTGGGGAGTTGCTCAGGCACAGCAACTGGGGCTGAGGCCAGAGGAGTGGTGTCGAGGCTGATGCTGGAATCTGAGGAGCTCCCCTTCTCTCCCCGCTCCCGTGCTCCCTTGGCAGGCGGAAGAAGCTCCGTTTCCACCCTCGGCAGTTGTACCTGTCCGTGAAGCAGGGCGAGCTGCAGAAGGTGATCCTGATGCTGTGTGAGTGCCACCCATTCCTTCAGCAGACCTTGACCAAGCTTCATGTATATACCAGGCACTGGGTACAGGGCCAGGAGTACAGTCGTGAAGGACACAGTCCTTGCCCTGAAGGACTTAGTGTGGTGGGGAAAAGACACATGTAACCCATAACGATGGGGATGTGGTGACTCATAGGTGCTGGGTCCTGTTCTGAGTGCTTATACCTGTTAGCCTTGGCTTGCACAGAGAGGTTAGGGACCTTGCACAGTGCACAGTGGTACTGAGAAGCAAGGCAGGGTTTGAATTCAGGCAGAGCTGATGCCTTTGACTCCTTATTCTGATAAATGCTGTGGTGGAGGCAAGCTCGGAGAATGCCAGGAGGGGCCCTGATCCAGCTTGGGGCCCTGAGAAGCCTTCCTGAAAGAAGTGCCACCTGCCCCCTAGCTTGCTTACCACTTGTCCCTCCCTCTCCCGGTGTGGCGGGCTCTCCCCGCAGTGGACAACCTGGACCCCAACTTCCAGAGCGACCAGCAGAGCAAGCGCACGCCCCTGCATGCAGCCGCCCAGAAGGGCTCCGTGGAGATCTGCCATGTGCTGCTGCAGGTCAGCACGGGCCCGGCCCCATGCCTCATTCACCAGGCCCTTAGGCCCCTCCCCTGCCCCATGCCTCCCTGGTGCCAGCCCTCCTGCCCCCTCACAGGCTGGAGCCAACATAAATGCAGTGGACAAACAGCAGCGGACGCCACTGATGGAGGCCGTGGTGAACAACCACCTGGAGGTAGCCCGTTACATGGTGCAGCGTGGTGGCTGTGTCTATAGCAAGGTGTGCGCGCAGGCAGCAGGGCGTGGCCCCCGGAGTCAGGGACCAGGTTTGGGGTGCCAGCCCAAAGGCTCATTTGCCCGTGTCTCCCTCAGGAGGAGGACGGTTCCACCTGCCTCCACCACGCAGCCAAAATCGGGAACTTGGAGATGGTCAGCCTGCTGCTGAGCACAGGACAGGTGGACGTCAACGCCCAGGTCAGCGGCCCACCCAGCCCAGCCCCTCTGGGTCCCTGGTGCCTGGGTTCCTTGGCTTGGCCTCAGGCTTTGGGCCGCCTTTCCTACATCTGACCTCACACTGCTCGTGTCTGTCCTCATTGCTTTCTTCTTCCTCATTTGTATTTCTCTTCATTCTTTTCTTTCTCGTTTCTTTCTCTTTATCAAGTTTCAGAATAATCAGTTCCTGTCTTAATCTCTGAAAGTGTCCAGTGAGGCTTTTTATTAACTCTTGGGTTGTCATACATTGGATGTGTTTTAGTCATTTATTGGCATTCTTCTCAGTCTTTGAATTATTCCATCATTGTCCAGAAGAAGCCCCTTTAAGAGGCCTCTGTGGCTGTGACATGACCCAGTGGCCCAGTGGCCTTTGAGAGCCTCCTGACCTTTCAGCACATTTCCTGCCCCCAACTCAGAATCCACCATTTCTCTAAGAAACTCTGCTTCCTTTATGGGAAACTTTTTTTTTTTTTTTTGAGACGGAGTCTCACTCTGTTGCCCAGGCTGGAGTGCAATGGCGTGATCACAGCTTACTGCAAGCTCCGCCTCCCAGGTTCACGCCATTCTCCTGCCTCAGCCTCCCGAGTAGCTGGGATTACAGGCGCCCACCACCATGCCCGGCTAATTTTTGTATTTTTAGTAGAGACGGGGTTTCACCATATTGGCCAGGCTGATCTTGAACTCCTGACCTCGTGAGCCACAGCGCCCGGCCAGAAGCATTTTTTAGAGAATACAATCTATGTTCCTAGGAGTGTTTATTGTTATTGGGTTGTCGCTGCTTCTAGGACTTTTGAGTGGGCAGACTTAGGAAATTTTTGTTCGTTTTTTCTTTTAAGAGACAGGGTCTTGCTATGTCACCCAGGCTGAAGTACAGTAGCAGTTCACAGACAGTCATAGCTCTCTGCAGCCTCGAAATCCTGGGCTCAAGCAACCCTCCCATCTCAGTCACATGAGTAGCTGGGACTACAGGCATGCACCTCCATGACCAGCTCCTGGCTGTATTTTTTGGAAAGAGAACAATTACTTTATTTTCTCTCTGGCATCAGATGGTAGACGCTACTAGTCCCATTTTTGTTTGTTTGTTTTTTGAGACGGAGTCTTGCTCTGTCGCCCAGGCTGGAGTGCAGTGGCACGATCTTGGCTCACTGCAAGCTCCGCCTCCCGGGTTCACGCCATTCTGCCTCAGCCTCCCTAGTAGCTGGGACTACAGGCGCCTGCCACCACGCCCAGCTAATTTTTTCTATTTTTTAGTAGAGACAGGGTTTCACCGTGTTGGCCACAATGGCCTCCATCTCCTGACCTCGTGATCCGCCCGCCTCGGCCTCCCAAAGTGCTGGGATTACAGGCATGAGCCACCGCGCCCGACCCTACTAGTCCCATTTTTTAGATGAAGAAACTGCGACCCAGAGACGTTAAGTGACTTACCCAGGGTCCCACAGCTTGTGAATGGTGGAGCTGGGATTCACACACACAGCCAATCTTGACCATTTGCTGCTTTGGTGAGCAGGGCCAGCTGCCCCCACCCTCACTCCCTTCCCACCCACAGGACAGTGGGGGGTGGACGCCCATCATCTGGGCTGCAGAGCACAAGCACATCGAGGTGATCCGCATGCTACTGACGCGGGGCGCCGACGTCACCCTCACTGACAACGTGAGTGAGCGTTTGGTTGAGGTAGGGCAGCCCCAGGCCCCTGAGCAAGGTGGAGGCTGGATTCAAGGGCCCAGCTGCCTGCACCTCATCTGTTCCCCTCCTACCTCCACAGGAGGAGAACATCTGCCTGCACTGGGCCTCCTTCACGGGCAGCGCCGCCATCGCCGAAGTCCTTCTGAATGCGCGCTGTGACCTCCATGCTGTCAACTACCATGGGGACACCCCCCTGCACATCGCAGCTCGGGAGAGCTACCATGACTGCGTGCTGTGAGCCCCTGCCCCGCCCTTGATGCCCCTGCCCCCACTTCTTGCAGCCTCAGACCCTGCATTGGGCATCCTGTCCCCTCTTCAGGTTATTCCTGTCACGTGGGGCCAACCCTGAGCTGCGGAACAAAGAGGGGGACACAGCATGGGACCTGACTCCCGAGCGCTCCGACGTGTGGTTTGCGCTTCAACTCAACCGCAAGCTCCGACTTGGGGTGGGAAATCGGGCCATCCGCACAGAGAAGATCATCTGCCGGTGAGCCCTGGGCCCCTCTCTGCACCCAAGACCACCTCCTCCCCACCCATACCCTCCCCAGGCTCCATTGCATCCTCACAACATTCCCCAACCCCTCCCCATGCACCACTGAATCCCCAGAACCACCCACAGGCCCCCTCCCCACTAGGGTTGCCAGATACAGCAAATAAAAATAGAAGACACCCAGTTAAACTGGAATTTCAGATGCACAGATGCATACTTTTTTAGTGTGAGAATGTCCTGTGTAATTTTTGGGACATACTAAAAAGCTATTTCTTGTTTATCTAAAATTCTATGTTAACTCGCTGTCCTGCATCTTACCTGGCAACCTTACTCCCCTGCCCCCAGCCCCAGGAACCTCCCCAACTCTCTTCCTTATACCTGGAGTAGCTCCTCACCCCCTTTTCCAGCTTCCCAGCCCCTTCTTCCCGTCTTCTGCAGGGACGTGGCTCGGGGCTATGAGAACGTGCCCATTCCCTGTGTCAACGGTGTGGATGGGGAGCCCTGCCCTGAGGATTACAAGTACATCTCAGAGAACTGCGAGACGTCCACCATGAACATCGATCGCAACATCACCCACCTGCAGGTGAGTAGGGGGCCCGGGGCCTCCCCAAAAGGACACCGAGAGCTGCCAAGTACAGTTGGACAAGCTTCAAACCAGCAAAGGCACCTGGCCAAGGAAGGGTTGGCTGAAAGGGAGCCCTGGTGTGGGGTCGCATCCCCACCAGGGGAGGGATCCTTTTCCTAGGTCACAGCAAGGTATCATATGAGCTCCCAGTAGCCCTGGGGACACCACCATACTGATTACCCGTCACCCTAGGACCATCACCACCCACTGTTGTAACACATGGACCCCAAAGAAAGGACAGTGGTTAGGGGGTCAGGGGGCATCAAGAGTAGAGGGGCCCAGACCGATCATGGGGTTGAGCTGACCCCTGCCTCCTCGCCCCAGCACTGCACGTGTGTGGACGACTGCTCTAGCTCCAACTGCCTGTGCGGCCAGCTCAGCATCCGGTGCTGGTATGACAAGGTGCGTGCCCCTTGCCTTGGCCACAGACACCCGGCCCCTCCTTCAGAGGAGCCAGCCTCCAATAAACCAGCTCCCTGGGACCATGTCCCTCACCTCCTACCCTGTGGGGGAAGTGACTGAGAGGACTGGGCAAGGCCTGGGAATCCTGGGATGTGGCTGGGACAGCGATGGGCGTGTGCCCAGGTCTATGCAAACCAGGGATGATGCTCCTGCATTTCGTGCTCTCGGATCTCAGAGCCTGTGTGACCTCCCCAACCCCAACTTCCCTGTCTCTGTAGAGTCTTGGGGTTCCTGGGTGGGCAGCTGAGGTGGGCCCCACAGAGAAACCACTATCCTCCCCTCCGCACCCTAGGATGGGCGATTGCTCCAGGAATTTAACAAGATTGAGCCTCCGCTGATTTTCGAGTGTAACCAGGCGTGCTCATGCTGGAGAAACTGCAAGAACCGGGTCGTACAGAGTGGCATCAAGTGAGGCCCTGCTCCACAGCCCACCCTCTCCCCACCTCACCCTTTCCTCCCTGCCCCTGGGGCTTTTCCAGGGCCTCCACCCAACAGCGCCATCTCTCCTACCCCCAGGGTGCGGCTACAGCTCTACCGAACAGCCAAGATGGGCTGGGGGGTCCGCGCCCTGCAGACCATCCCACAGGGGACCTTCATCTGCGAGTAAGTCACCGGGAGCACCTTAACACCTGGTGGGAAGGGGATACATGGCCACTGCTGACTGCCAGGCCTCCCTCTCAGCCATCTGCCCTGATGAGTCACATGTCTCCATCTGGCCACTCTCCAGCCAGCCTCCTCTGACCCCTATTCCTGCAGCTGAGCAGCCAGCCGCCTCTGACCCCCATCCCCCCAGCTGAGAATGGCACCTGCCTCCACTCTGCCCAGACCACAGAGCTTGTCTTCCCTCCCCTCCACCTCCACCCTCTACCTTCCCCTCCACCCCCTCCTCGCCCTTCCTAGCTGGAGAAAGTGCCAGTTTGGGAGACAAACAGACTTGGGTTTGAGCCCCTCTCTGCTTCTGGATGTTCTTGGCCAAGTTACTTAACCTCTTTGAGCCTTATTTTTCTTGTCTGTAGAGTGGAGGTGATAACAGCTACCTATCTGTCCACCTCCTCAGGGGCCTGTCCCTCTCCATCAGTTCTTTCTCTGCCCAGCATCTGTAATCTCCCCCTTTCTCTTGGCTGCCATCCCACAACCCTCAATCTTACTTTAGTCTCCTTTGGCTCTTTTTTTTTTTTTTTTTTAATTTATTTTTTGAGACGGAGTTTCACTCTTGTTGCCCAAGCTGGAGTGCAATGGCACAATCTTGGCTCACTGCAGTCTCCACCTCCCAGGTTCAAGCGATTCTCCTGCCTCAGCCTCCCAAGTAGCTGGGATTACAGGTGCGCACCACCACACCCGGCTAATTTTTTGTATTTTTAGTAGAAACGGAGTTTCACCATGTTAGCCAGGCTGGTCTCCAACTCCTGACCTCAGATGATCCGCCCACCTCGGCCTCCCAAAGTGCTGGGATTACAGGCGTGAGCCACCGTGCCTGACCATTCTTTGGCCTTTAAAAAAGATAGTCCTCTAACCATACTTGCCTGTTCAACAGACCATCCAGTTTCTTTCCATCATGTCATCTCTCAACTTCTCTGGCAAGCAGCCCCTTCCTGCTGGGCCTCAGTTTCCCCACCATCCACTCACTGCCTGTCCCTGCCAAAATCGGCCTTTGCCCTTCCCACTCTGCTGAAGCTGTCTCTTGACAGTCACTTCCCACCCACGTCCTCTCCGTGTGTCTGAATCTCCCATGTCTGCTCACCCTCCTTAGATAGCTGGCTCCTCTCCTCCCTCTGGTGTCCAGATATGTGTGGGTGCTCTTGCCCCGAATCATGCCTTGAGTTCCTTGCCACTCCTGTACCTCTGGCTCTTCCTGCAGTCCTGGCCCCTCTCCTGTTCCATATCGCCCATTCCTGCCGGGTGGCTCCTGGAACACAAACCTCTCTGTGTCCAAACCCGAACTTCCCCACCCAGGCCAACTGCCCCTACACATTAATCCCCTTAACCACAGAGCTTGTTGTCTGTCTCTGTGCTGACTGAAGGCTTCCTCTGTCAAGGCTGGAATGCTGCCCTTTCACTTGCCCACCACTGCTGCTCCAGGCCTTCCCTTCCCCACACCTGCCAGCCCTGCCCATTCCAGATTCCACAGGCTTGTGAAGAGAGATGGGGCCTGGAGCCACCTCCTAATAGCCCACACTCACCTTCAGAACCATGGATTCCTGTCCCACAGGTATGTCGGGGAGCTGATCTCTGATGCTGAGGCTGATGTGAGAGAGGATGATTCTTACCTCTTCGACTTAGACAACAAGGTGAGCAGGAGACCCTCCTTACCCTGCTGCTCCCCAGGGCTGGCTTTCAGGAGCCTCTGGGAAGTCAGCAAATGGAAACCTGGGGAGGAGGGACTGGGGAGTCAGTGGGTGGGGAGGGCAAGCAGGGTCGGGGGAGATGTGAAGAGTGCCATCCCCCTGCCCCAGGATGGAGAGGTGTACTGCATAGATGCCCGTTACTATGGCAACATCAGCCGCTTCATCAACCACCTGTGTGACCCCAACATCATTCCCGTCCGGGTCTTCATGCTGCACCAAGACCTGCGATTTCCACGCATCGCCTTCTTCAGTTCCCGAGACATCCGGACTGGGGAGGAGCTAGGGTGAGACTCTAGGGGTCTCTAGGGGCTCTGCCAGGGGGTGGGAGATGCAGCAAACCTGGGACCTGAAGGCTGGCATGTACCTGGTGTCCAGGCATGGAGTAGTGCAGAGCTTCTCAGATTTCAGTGTACATAAGTATTTCCTGGAGGACTTGGGGAAACAGTCCTGTGCCTCCCAGAGAGATTTTGAATCAGTAGGCTTGGGATGGGGCCCAGGATTCTGCATTTCTAAAAAGTCCCCAGGCAATGCTGATGCTGAAAGTCCATAGAACATACAAGGGGCTCAGATCCCATCTGGAGAAGATAGGTTGGGTGTCGGGTCCCTCTCAGGGAGCAGGATCCACAGGGTCTTCGGGGTGGGCTCTTGGTGGCTGGGTCCAGGTCCCACAAGCTCCTGTTTTCCTCTGACAGGTTTGACTATGGCGACCGCTTCTGGGACATCAAAAGCAAATATTTCACCTGCCAATGTGGCTCTGAGAAGTGCAAGCACTCAGCCGAAGCCATTGCCCTGGAGCAGAGCCGTCTGGCCCGCCTGGACCCACACCCTGAGCTGCTGCCCGAGCTCGGCTCCCTGCCCCCTGTCAACACATGAGAACGGACCACACCCTCTCTCCCCAGCATGGATGGCCACAGCTCAGCCGCCTCCTCTGCCACCAGCTGCTCGCAGCCCATGCCTGGGGGTGCTGCCATCTTCTCTCCCCACCACCCTTTCACACATTCCTGACCAGAGATCCCAGCCAGGCCCTGGAGGTCTGACAGCCCCTCCCTCCCAGAGCTGGTTCCTCCCTGGGAGGGCAACTTCAGGGCTGGCCACCCCCCGTGTTCCCCATCCTCAGTTGAAGTTTGATGAATTGAAGTCGGGCCTCTATGCCAACTGGTTCCTTTTGTTCTCAATAAATGTTGGGTTTGGTAATAAACTGCGATTTTTGTGTTGGGGTGGGGAGAAAGCATACTTGGCTAGAGGGAATGTGGGTCCAAGGGCCAGAATAGGATGGGAAGCAGGCTGGACAGGTGTGGCTGGTGTGATGGCCGCCCAGTGCGGGGCAGGGAGGTGGGGGGCCACTATGAAGATCCAGTTTCACAGGCACGGTGGCTGACACCTATAATCCCAGCACTTTGGGAGGCCAAGGCAGGCGAATCACCTGAGATCAGGAGTTCAAGACCAGCCTGGCCAACTTGGTGAAACCCCATCTTTCAAAATAGAAAAAATTTGCTGGGCGTGGTGGCAGGCACCTGTAATCCTGGCTACTCCAGAGACTGAGGCAGGAGAACCGCTTGAAGCCAGGAGGCGGAGGTTGCAGTGAGCCAAGATTGAGTCACTGCACACCAGCCTGGGCAACAAGAGCGAAACTCCATCTCAAAAAGGAAAAAACAGGTCCAATTTCCACACTTTAATCTTTGGCGGGAGCGTGTTGGGAGTGTACGGCAGTTAAGGTAGTTGGCGAGATTATAAAGCGTTTTCTTATCAGAGCATGCCAGGTCGTTCACTGTGGTCCGTAGTGCCCCCAGGAAATAGCCCTGAGCCCCCGTCCCAGGCTCCAGCTCCCCAGCCCGCTGGGCACAAAGTTGAGAAGAAGGAACTAGAGTGTGTCGGGGACCACAGGCGGGGGTGGGGCTGTGACGTGTGGGAGGGCGGGGCGGGCAGCAGGTGAGACGCCAGGTCTCCAGGGCTCCAATCACTCCGGAGACTGAGCCATGGGGGGAAAGCAGCGGGACGAGGATGACGAGGCCTACGGTGAGACTGGGGCGAGGCCCGGGACCCTGTGGAGGGAGGGGAGGACGGGTACTTTGGGAATGGTGTCTGGGGCTGGCTCCAGGGAGAGGAACTAAGGAGAGTACTGTGTCCCTGAGGGGAGGGCCCGGGAACCGGGAGCCATGGAGGGAGGGAGTCAGGGTCCTGGGAGGAGGATGGGGCCCGGGGGCTGGGGCTGTTGCTGGGGAGCCCATGGGGAGTGAAGCTGGGTGCCTCTGAAGAGTTGGGGCTGAGGTCCTTGGGAGGAGGGGGGTATTTCAGGCCTGGACTCTGGGTCCCTAAGGGCAGGGCCCTAGGAAACAAAGCCGAGATGGAAGGTGGCAGGTTGGGGCCCTGAGCAGAATAGGGCTGGATGCTGGGAGTGTCCTGTGCTGCAGAGCCTGCAACCAGTGAGGCCAGGGTCCCTGTAAGGAGGAGGAGGTTCAGCCTGGAGTCTGGGTCTCTGAGGGCGAAAGCTGCTTGTGGTCTGCCGGCTCCCTTGAGGAGTGAGGGGACCCTGAGTGGGCTGGCCTCTGCCTGCCAGGGTCTCTGGGAGAAGTGGCAGAGGGAGTGGGTTCTGCTGGGGGTCCCTGTGAGGAGTTGGGGCTGAGGGTCTTTGTGGAAAGGGGGCTGGGGTCCTGCCTAGGGGTCTCTGTGAGGAGCTAGGAGCAGGAGCTGGTCTTGGGGTACTCTGAGGAATAGGGACAGGGCCCCTGGGGTTCCTGTGAAGGGTGAGGCCTGAGGGGAGAAACAGCAGGGAGCCTGTTTCCAGAATCTGCAAGGAAAAGGGGCTGGGGTTCTGAGGAGAGAGGGAGCTGGGGACTGGCCTCCAGATCCCCACGAGCAGTGAAGGCTGGGGACTCACCTGCGGAGGCCCCCCTGGTCTTCTGGTCTGAAGGGGAAGGAACCCCTATGAGGGACCTTCTCGAGGAGAGGCTTGAGTCCCTTAGGGCCATAGGGGAGCAGGCAGTGAGGACTCCCGAGTAGACTTCCTGGAGCGGCTTCAGGTCAATCATTGTCCATGAGCCATGGAGGGACAGAGTCCAGCGCACCTGGGGAAAGTGGACCCCACCCGCTCCTTCCCAGACTCCTGCCCAGCCCTCGGCTCTCCCTCCTCAGTGCCCACAAGGAACCCTGACTGCCCAGCCCTCCTCCTCCCTGTGTGTGTACTCAGGGAGGACCAGGAACTCAACGTGCCTGCAATCTCTATGGCTGGGCTCAGGTGTCACTCTGACTGCTGGCCCAGAGCCCGGAGCACACTGTGGCCAGGGGACTGAGGTCCCACCAGAGTGAGGATGTACAGGGCCGCTTCCCTCCCCAGGCCCTGCTGGGGTTGACACCTTTGTCTCCAGTTTCTTTCCCCATAGCCTTGAACCAGAGGGTAAGGTAGGGCCTGGGGCAGATAGGGGAAGAGGCCATGACCTCCCTGAGGGGCTGTGGGTCTGTGTGGTCCCTGGGGAGGGATTAGGGAGGAGGCAGGGATGAGAATGAGGGAGTGAGAGCCACTGGGAGTCCCACATCCCAGCTAAAGGGAGACTCAGGAGAACCGTGCCAGGGTAGGGCAGGGGACCAAGGCCATTTCCCAGACTGACTGCCTTGAGATGTGAGCCGGAAACTATAAAGGCCTTCCTTCCCCTCCCCATGGCAGCCTGGGTGGAGCTCCCAGGGAGCTGCTGAGCTGCTGACCAGGCCTGGATCCTACCTTTCCTGCTCCCCAGTTTTCCCCTCCTGCCAGTCCTGCCCTAGCCCATCTCCCTCCAAACACCTGAGGCCTGGGTAGGATCCTGGGGCTAGGAGGACTCAGCAGGACAAGATATGCAGAGAGAGACTCATCCTCCACACCTCTTCTCATGTCCCTCAGGGAAGCCAGTCAAATACGACCCCTCCTTTCGAGGCCCCATCAAGAACAGGTGAGCTCTGGGCACTGCTCCGGGGGCTGGCGGGGGTGGTGGGTGCAGTGTGGAATCCAGTATTTGCTTTGTATTTGCTAAAATATTAGTAGGAAACTTGTGAAAAAGAGAAACTCCTGCCCCAGATGGGTGGTGCCCTGGGGGGATTGTTGTGTCTGGAGCAGGCATCGAGGGCTTCCCAGTTCTGGGGGGATGTTCTGTTTCTTGACTTAAGTGCCGGCTTCACAAGCGAGAGAACTCACCCAGCTGAGCCCTTGCGAGTTGTGTGCTTTTCTGTCTTTTACTTCAGAAGAAAGTTTACCCACCCAGAAAAAGGTTTTCTTTCTTTTTGTGTTTTGGAGATGGGGGTTCACTGCAGGCTCGAACTCCTGTGCTCAAGTGATCCTCCTGCCCTAGCCTTCCGAGTAGCTGGGACTACAGGCATGCACCATCACACCAGGCTAATTTCTTTGAGATGGGATCTCACTATGTTGCCCAGGCTGGTCTCAAACTCCTGGCCTCAAGGGATTGCCCTGCCTCAGCCTCCCAAGTAGCTAGTATTACAGTCGTGAGCCACTGTGCCTGGCTAGGTTTTCTAAATAAAATATTTAAAAAAAATTAGCCGGGCAGTAGTGGCACGCGCCTGTAATCCCAGCTACTCGGGAGGCTAAGGCAGGAGAATTGCTTGAACCCAGGAGGCAGAGGCTGCAGTGAGCCAAGATTGCACCACTGCACTCCAGTCTGTGTGACAGAGTGAGACCCTGTCTCAAAATAAAAAAGTAAAAGCAATAAAAAAATAAAAATAAAGCCTACTGATGCCCATGCTGCAGCATCACCCAACTCTCTAACCCTTAACCCCTCCAGACCATAAGCCCTACCTCCCCAAGTCTCCTTAGCTCAGCCTCCCGTTTCGTTTCTCTCTCAGAAGCTGCACAGATGTCATCTGCTGCGTCCTCTTCCTGCTCTTCATTCTAGGTTACATCGTGGTGGGGATTGTGGGTGAGTTTCCAGCTGCTCAGAGCCAGGGCAGTGGGTGAGGGACAGGAACCCAGGGAGGGACCATTCCCATAACTGCCCCACTAAGTCCCTGCCCTCCAATGACTCATCTGTGCCTCTGTCTGCAGCCTGGTTGTATGGAGACCCCCGGCAAGTCCTCTACCCCAGGAACTCTACTGGGGCCTACTGTGGCATGGGGGAGAACAAGTGAGTACAAAGGCGAGAAGAGGAGTGCAGGAGCGAGGCGAGGTAGGGTGGGCAGGAGACACCCCCCCAACTCAGGCTCCAGACCTGTCCGTGCTCTTCCACAGCCTTTCCCTGCTGTCCCCACCCCACCTCAGCCTCCCTGAATCTGACAACTCCAGGCCACGTTAAGAACCATTGCTGGACAGTTAGCTTCTTGAGTCCCCCCAGAAATGGGAGGCAGTGGAGAGTCGTGTTAAGTGTATGAGTTTTACAGTTCAGAGATTGGTGTTTGGATCCCCAACTGGACCAAGTTTTGGTTGTGTGGCCTTGGACAAGTTACTCAAGCTCTCTGAGCTTTGATTTCCTTATTTGAAATTCAAGGGGAATTCCAGAAGCAATGCCAACAGTCCTCACATACAGATGTCCAATAAATAATAAAACCTCAAATATTTATATAGCATTTACTATGTTCCAGGCAGGCAGTAAACTTTACACACACAAGCGCATTGAAATCTCATGAGGTAGGCACTACTGTTTTATATGGAGTAGAACTAAGACCGAGAACAGGTGACTTGCTCAAGATCATAAAGATGATATGAAGTTGTGGAGCTCCAAGTTCATGCTCTGAGCTATTTGTCAGCTGCTGCAATGGTGACTTACTCTGAGAGATCTTCTAGGCATCTCCCTACCTCCCCAGCTGAGCTAGGGCCAGGAGCTGGGAGGTGACTGGTATGGGCCACGCTGGGCTGGGCCCACTGTATTCTTGAGAAGCCACCCTAGTGGTCCCTCCCCTCCCCCAACACCTGACCAGGCCCTGATGCACATGGTCCCTCCCCTCCCACAGAGATAAGCCGTATCTCCTGTACTTCAACATCTTCAGCTGCATCCTGTCCAGCAACATCATCTCAGTTGCTGAGAACGGCCTACAGTGCCCCACACCCCAGGTCAGAGCCTGGGACCTGCCTCTACCCCAGATCTCACCCAGGGTCTCAGGTTCCAGCCCCTTAGTGTTCTCTCTGCACCCAGGTGTGTGTGTCCTCCTGCCCGGAGGACCCATGGACTGTGGGAAAAAACGAGTTCTCACAGACTGTTGGGGAAGTCTTCTATACAAAAAACAGGAACTTTTGTCTGCCAGGGGTACCCTGGAATATGGTGAATATTGCCCCTAACCTCATCACTGTCGCCCAGAAGGGCCAGGGTGGGCACGAGAGGGAGGGGGAGTTGGGTAGATCATCACCAGGTTGGCTCTCCTGGGGAGTGTGGGACAGGCTGAGCCCCATGGTGGTGGTGAGGGGACCTGCTTCTTCATCCTGCTCTGTGTCTGTGTGTCTGTCCTTTCACTCCTGCCACAGACGGTGATCACAAGCCTGCAACAGGAACTCTGCCCCAGTTTCCTCCTCCCCTCTGCTCCAGGTGAGAAGCACAGATTCCTTCCTCAGACGTCATCTAGTCCAGTGTTTTCATTGCTTGAATGAAGAAATCAGGCCCAGAGAGAGTGAAGTCACATAGCTTGTTGGTGGCAAAATTGGAATTAGCATCAGGTCTTCATTTTGCTCTTTGTTATGTGGCCTTGCAGTCAGACCATCAGTGTTTTGGGGACCTACTATGTGCCAGGTGCTGGGGACAGAGGCAGGGATAACAACTGCTCCCTGCTTCAGCTACATTCTAGGTGAAGAGATTAGAGTTGTTCACAAAGAGACTGTATGAAAATCTCATGAAAACATACATGGGTGAATCTACACACACATTTTTTTTTTTTTGACGGAGTCTTCCTCTGTTGCCCAGGCTGGAGTGCAGTGGCGTGATCTCGGCTCACTGCAACCCCCGCCTCCCGGGTTCAAGCGCTTCTCTGCTTCAGCCTCCCGAGTAGCTGGAATTACAGCACATGGTGCCCGCCACCACGCCCGGCTAATTTTTATTTTTATTTTATTTATTAAATTTATTTATTAAATTTGTATTTTTAGTAGAGACGGGGTTTCACTATCTTGGCCAAGCTGGTCTTGAACTCCTAACTTCGTGATCCACCCACCTTGGCCTCCCAAAGTGCTGGGATTACAGACATGAGCCACCACGCCCAGCCTGCACACATATCATTTTTATATATGCACAGGGAAAAGGCTAGAAGGATATTTGTTCAAATGTTATAAGTGAACGTGGCTGGGTGGTAGGATCACAGTTGAACTTTTTTTCTTTTACAGTGTGCTCTTCCTTCCAGTAGCAAATGTCTTTTTTTTTTTTTAAGAGATGAAGTCTTGCTATGTTGCCCAGGCTGGTCTTGAACTCCTCGATTCAAGCAATCTTCCCACCTCAGCCTCTCAAAGTGCTGGGATTACAGACATGAGCCCCGACACCCAGTTGCAAATGTCATTTTTAATATAAAACAATTTTTAGGCCAGGCATGGTGGCTCATGCTTGTAATCCTAGCACTTTGGGAGGCTGAGGCAGGCAGATCACCTGAGATCAGGAGTTCGAGACCAGCCTGGCCAACATGGCGAAACCCTATCTCTACTAAAAATACAAAACTTAGCTGGGCGTGGTGGCATGCACCTCTTATCCCAGCTACTCAGGAGGCTGAGGCAGGAGAATTGCTTGAACCCGGGTGGCAGAGGTTGCAGTGAGCTTTGCAGTGAGCCAAGATCGTGCCACTGTACTCTAGCCTTGCTGACAGAGCGAGACTCCGTCTCAAACAAAAATTTTAGGCCGGGAGCAGTGGCTCACACCTGTAATCCCAGCACTTTGGGAGGCCGAGGCGGGCGGATCACAAGGTCAGGAGTTCGAGACTAGTCTGGCCAACATGGTGAAACCCCGTCTCTACTAAAAATACAAAAATTAGCCAGGTGTGGTGGTGGGCACCTGAAATCCCAGCTACTCGGGAGGCTGAAGTAGGAGAATTGCTTGAGCCCAGAGGCGGAGTTTACGGTGAGCCGAGATGGTGCCACTGCACTCCAGCCTGGGCAACAGTGAGACTCCATCTCAAAAAAAAAAAATTAGACAATTTATAGCATAAGATGAGATATCCAGTTATCAATTTAAGTACAGTAAGGAGTATCTCAAGTGAATACTTCAAAGTCAAGTAGATCTGAATATAAATTCTAGCACTTTCCAGCCCTATGGTCTTGACCCAACTATGCAACCTCTCTGAACCTTGTTTCCTCATCTTTAGAATGTAAATGACAGTGAGGTGCAGTGGCTCATGCCTGTAGTCCCAACTGCTCAGGAGGCTAAGGCGGGAGGATCACTTGAGTCCTGGAGTTGGAGGTTACAGTGAGCTATGATTGTGCCACTGCACTCCAGCCTGGGCAATAGAGTGAGAAACCCTGCCTCTAAAAAATAAATAAGCTAGGTGAGGTGACTCACACCTGTAATCCCAACACTTTGGGGGGCTGAGGTGGGAGGATTGCTTGAGCCCAGGAGTTTGAGGCCAGCCTGGGCAACACAGCAAAACCCCATCTGTACAAAAAATTTAAAAATTAGCCAAGTGTGGTGGTGCACATCTATAGTCCCAGTTGCTTGGGAGGCTAAGTGGGGAGGATCGCTTGAGCCCAGAAGTTCAATGTTGCAGTAAGCTATGATCATGCAGCTGCACTCTAGCCTGGGTGACAGAGCAAGACCTTGACTCAAAAATAAGAAAATAAATAAATAAATAGATAAATAAATGACAAAGCAAGGCTGCCTGGCAAAGTTGTTGCAAGGATGGCAGTAAGTGGCTCTGTAGGCACATAACAGTTGCCAAAGGAGGTGGGGATAAGGTCAGAAGGCTTCCTGGAGGAGGTGAGATGGAGCTGGATTTGAACAGGGAGTCATGGATGGGATTTCTGGTGGAAAGAGAGCCCTGAGAGAGAGGCACAGTAAGAGCAAAGGTACAGAGTAGAAGGGAACATGGGCTGGATTTGCACAGGAGAGCCTGGAAGCCTGGCCAGGGAGTGTGGATGCTGTCTCTGGGGCAGAGCCTCTGGAGATGTCTGAGTCACAAAGGGACCCAGAACCCTGGAGTGATGAAGTCCAGGCAGTGCCACGGTCTCCCTGGCACTCCACTCGGGTGGAGGGTGGATGGAAGGGTGACAGGGTGTTCTAAGAGTTGAGGCCAGCGGAGAGGAGGGTCCAAACCAAGGCACGACAGGGAGGGGAGGCAGGGGATAGACTGGGCTCCACAGGGCAGAAGCCCATTTGTGAAATCAAAAGCAGCCCACTGAGGGATGCAAGGCCCATCACCCTTCCCTCCCCTAAGGGCACTGTGGACTGGGAGGGGGCCAGAGACCCTCCAGGCAGAGCTCCTGGCCCCCAACCCAGCAGCCCGGCTCTCCCTTCCAGCTCTGGGGCGCTGCTTTCCATGGACCAACGTTACTCCACCGGCGCTCCCAGGGATCACCAATGACACCACCATACAGCAGGGGATCAGGTAGGCACCTCCCTCCCCCACATCCTGGCCACACCCCTTCCACCCACAGCCCCATCTGACTCTGTCTCCCCAACAGCGGTCTTATTGACAGCCTCAATGCCCGAGACATCAGTGTTAAGATCTTTGAAGATTTTGCCCAGTCCTGGTATTGGATTCTTGTGTGAGTCACCAGATTCCCCTCCTCTTGTGTCCTTGCCTTCTTCCTCCCTGATCCTCTACCCCCTCGCCCAATGTCTGAAACACAGGCTTTGGACAGAGGAGGAGGAGCCAGAGCTCCGAATGGATTCCAAGACCAACAGGATTTATAAGGGAAAGAGGCCTAATCTGGGGACATTGGGTGGTGTGTGGAAAGGCAGGGAGGGCCTCTGTAAGGGGAAAGATTTGAGGGGCTAGGGCTGAACCTCACTGTCCTCACCCTGCCTACAGTGCCCTGGGGGTGGCTCTGGTCTTGAGCCTACTGTTTATCTTGCTTCTGCGCCTGGTGGCTGGGCCCCTGGTGCTGGTGCTGATCCTGGGAGTGCTGGGCGTGCTGGCATACGGCATCTACTACTGCTGGGAGGAGTACCGAGTGCTGCGGGACAAGGGCGCCTCCATCTCCCAGCTGGGTTTCACCACCAACCTCAGTGCCTACCAGAGCGTGCAGGAGACCTGGCTGGCCGCCCGTGAGTGTCCTGCCCACCCCCAAGCCACCAGCTGCCCAAGGACCGCCCTGGGCCATGCCCGGCCCCAGCCCTGGCCCTGACCTAGGTCTGTCTGCCCCGTCCTCTGCAGTGATCGTGTTGGCGGTGCTTGAAGCCATCCTGCTGCTGATGCTCATCTTCCTGCGGCAGCGGATTCGTATTGCCATCGCCCTCCTGAAGGAGGCCAGCAAGTTAGGGCCTGCCTGGGAGGGAGATGGGGTTGAGGACAGCGTGGACCCAGGAGTGCTAGGGGACCTAGGGGGTGCTAGAGAGGTGGCAGGGAGCCTCAGAGGAGAAGGGAGGAATATAGCACAGTGGTGAACACTGCTGTGGCTTTGCTTCCCCATCTGTAAAATGGGGGTAACAATAATTCCTGCCTTCTAGGGTTGTCTTGAGGATTCAATGAGTGCCTGGAATATGACATAGGCCTTCTAGAGGGGTTGGTGGGAGTGGTGGTGGCTGAGTGGAACGGCAGGAATCCGGGCCAGGAGGGGCAGCAGCTTGCTCCCGATCAGGAACTGCCACACACACCTGCCAAGGGATCACGCTTGGGGGTGATCTTCCCTTACTCCACCCGAAGCTGCCCCAGGTGGCTTCTCTGTGACCCCAGTTTCCTCTAAGGGTCCTGTGAGCCTGATTTATTCAGTTCTGTTTATCCAGTGAGCACCTACAGTATGCCTAGCCCTGCACCAGGCCCTGAGGACACAGATATGAAAGACAATGTCACTAACCCTGTTGGTCCCACCCTGGGGGAGTGGGGCAGGCCCCAGTGAGGGCAGAGGGGTCAGCCCCCCCCCTTTTTTTTTTTTGAGACGGAGTCTCGCTCTGTCGACCAGGCTGGAGTGCAGTGGTGCGATGTCAGCTCACTGCAAACTCCGCCTCCCGGGTTCACGCCATTCTCCTGCCTCAGCCTCCGGAGTAGCTGGCACTACAGGCGCCCGCCACCATGCCCGGCTAATTTTTTGTATTTTTAGTAGAGATGGGGTTTCACCGTGTTAGCCAGCATGGTCTCGATCTCCTGACCTCGTGATCCGCCCGCCTCAGCCTCCCAAAGTGCTGGGATTACAGGCGTGAGCCACTGCGCCCGGCCGGGGTCAGCCCCTTGAGAAGATGGACAGCTGGGGCGGTGCCGGTTAACAGCTTTGTCTCCCTGCAGGGCTGTGGGACAGATGATGTCTACCATGTTCTACCCACTGGTCACCTTTGTCCTCCTCCTCATCTGCATTGCCTACTGGGCCATGACTGCTCTGTATCCTCTGCCCACGCAGCCAGCCACTCTTGGAGTCCTGGGGGGTGATGGAAAACAAAGCAATACTTGCCCTGTAGAGTGCCTTGGTGTCACTGGAAGAGGTGCCCCTTTCTCTGGGCAGACACACCAGCACTGTGCCTGAACAGAGTTGAAAGGGTGCACACAGGCTGAATTTCAGCCCTCTCTGTGCAGCAAACGATCTGCACAAGCACCTAGGAACAGGTCCCTAAGGAGCGAGTGACCTGTGGAGACCTCGTGTGATCATGCTTTCCTTGACTCCCCTCTGGGTACCTGGCTACATCGGGGCAACCCCAGTATGTGCTCTGGGCATCCAACATCAGCTCCCCCGGCTGTGAGAAAGTGCCAATAAATACATCATGCAACCCCACGGTAAGAGGAAGCAGGGGACATGGAGGCGGGACTAGTAGGGGTGAGGGGCTGTAGGGGCCACATTCCTCATTGTGCAGAGAAGACTGAGGCCACAGAGGGCAAGAAACTTGTGCAAGGTCACACACTCAACCCCCAGCAGAGCTAGAAGAAACCAGTTCCCAGAATACCTGGTACTCCTGTTGAGCCATCCATCATGTGGGGAGGGAAACTGAGGCTGGGAGAGACAGCCCTGGATACCAGGACTTACTCCACCCCTCCCCAGGACATTGCTCTGACTTGAGGACCATCAACCACTTCACCCTCTGAGTCTCAGCCTACTCCTGTTTGTTTGTTTGTTTGTTTGTTTGTTTGTTTGTTTTGAGACAGGGTCTTGCTCTGTTGCCCAGGCTGGAGTGCAGCAGTGCAATCTCAGCTCACTGCAACCTCCATCCCCCAGGCTCAAGCAATCTTCCCACCTCAGCCTCCTGAGCAGCTGGAACTACTAGCGTACGACACCACGCCAGGCTAA
The DNA here is from genome assembly GCF_000001405.40 of Homo sapiens. NCBI lineage: Eukaryota > Metazoa > Chordata > Mammalia > Primates > Hominidae > Homo > Homo sapiens. The sequence continues at coordinate 3,116,420 of NT_167245.2, read as the reverse complement.
TTTTAAGCTTTTTGTAGAGGCAAGGTCTTGCTGTGTTACCCGGGCTGGTCTTGAACTCCTGGGGTTGCCCCGATGTAGTCAGGTACCCAAGCAATCCTCTGGCTTAACCTCCCAAAGTACTGGGATTATAGGAGTGAGCCACCACATGCAGCTCCATTCCTCTGTAAAATGAGGATAATTATAATACCCATCCCTGGGGTGGCTGAGAAGATGAAATGACTTTGGGCACATAAAGTGCTTAGTACAATGCCTGGCACCTGATAAGAGCTCAACAACAGGTTGAATTGTATTATATTGTTAAGTCTTACTCCCTTGGAACACAGAGCCCTAGGTAGTAGCCAGGTGGGACTCCCTGCGGGGGACCCGAGAGAGAAGCTGCTTCCAAAATTCCCCTGTGAGGTTCCCCGGGAGTGGCGCTGGGCTGCTGGGAATTTACTCTTCTCAAACCTGTCATATCTTCACCTCGTCTGAGCTGGGAACATGAGCTGTGCTGCAGGCATTAGCCCCACCCCTATTAAAAAGGGGAGGTTTGGCAGGCGCGGTGGCTCATGCCTGTAATCCCAGCACTTAGGAGGCCGAGGTGGGCAGATCACCTGAGGTCAGGAGTTTGAGACCAGCCTGGCCAACATGACAAAAACCTGTCTCCACTAAAAGTACAAAAATTAGCCAGGCATGGTAGCAGGTGCCTGTAATCCCAGCTACTCAGGAGGCTGAGGCAGGAGAATTGCTTGAACTCGGGAGGCGGAGGTTGCAGTGAGCTGAGATCGCGCCATTGCACTGCAGCCTGGGCGGCGAGACTCCGTCTCAAAAAAAAAAAAAAAAGGTTTATTTACATGTACAGAGGACCCACTATGTGCCAGGCACTGGGTATACAAAGCCCAAAATGATGTGGTTCTTTTTCTTTTTCTTTTTTTTTTCTTTTTTAATGAAAAAAAGGCTGTTACACAGGCTGGAGTGCAGTGATGCGATCATGGCTCACTGAAGCCTTGATCTCCCAGGCTCAAGTGATCTTCTCACCTCAGTCTCCCAAGTAGCTGGGACTACAAACAAGTGCCACCATGCCCGGCTAATTTTTTTTTTTAAGAGATGGCGTTTCACTATGTTGCCCAGGCTGGTCTCAAACAAATGGGCTCAAGCAATTTGCCTGCTTCAGCCTCCAAAAGTGTTGGGATTATACACATGAGCAACTGTGCTGGGTATGACGTGAGTGTTGTTTTCAACTTGCTTGTGATCTAGCAGTAAAGACTGACAGAAGGCCGCGCGCAGTGGCTCACACCTGTAATCCCAGCACTTTGGGAGGCCGAGGCAGGTGAATCATGAGGTCCAGAGTTCGAGACCAACCTGGCCAATATGGTGACAGAGTGAGACTCCATCTCAAAAAAAAAAAAAAGATTTTTTGATTAGCCAGGCATGGTGGCACACACCTGCAGTCCCAGCTACTTGGGAGGTTGAAGCAGGAGGATTGCTTGAACACGGGAGGCAGAGGTTGCAGTGAGCTGAGATTGAGCCACTGTACTCCAGCCTGGGCAACAGAGCGAGACCCTGTGTCAAAAAAAAATTTTTTTGGTTATATTTGCTAGAAAGGGTTGCTTTTTAATTTGTGACTTTTTACTTTTTATTATGGGAATTTTTAAACATATGCAAAAGTAGAGATGATAGCACAGTGAGTTCCCTGTACCCAGATTCCACAACCCTCAACTTTTTGCTATTCTTATTTCATCTATATCCTCACCTATAATTTTTTTTTTTTTTGAGATGGAGTTTTGCTCTTGTCTCCCAGGCTGGAGTGCAGTGGCGCGATCTCGGCCCACTGCAACCTCTGCCTCCTGGGTTCAAGCAATTATCCTGCCTCAGCCTCCTGAATAGCTGGGATAATAGGCGTCTGCCACCACGCCCGGCTAATTTTTTGTATTTTCAGTAGAGATGGGATTTCACCATGTTGGCCAAGCTAGTCTTGAACTCCTGACCTCAGGCGATCCGCCCACCTCGGCCTCCCAAAGTGCTGAGATTACAGGCATAAGCCACCGCACCCGCCTCATAAATTTTTTTTTCTGGAGACTTTTAAGGCAAATTCTGGACATCATGCCATTTCACCTGTACATGCATCGAGATGGATCTCAACAGATAAGAACTGTTTAAAAGCATAGCCACTATATCATTATCACATCTCACAAAATTAACAATAATTCCTTAATATCATCAAATACCCAGCCTGTTCAATTTGCCGGAAAGGGTTTTGGTAGACGTTGCAGAGGCTGCTCTGGAATGGGAATGCTGAGTGCCTTCCCCTCTGATTGAGACTGAGGGAGCTGATTATGCTTATGCTATAGGCAGACCAAACTGAGTTTGAGCCTGGAGATGGAACTCTCCGACAGAACTTGATTCCCGCAGTCCAGAGAAGCTACTTCCCACCTGTCAACTCTGGGAGGGGCAGGAGCTACTGGGAATGGGACGCCCAGGCTCCATACTGAGGCCCCCGATGCCTGAGCCTACTCTATCCCCGTCTACCCTCCCAGGCCCACCTTGTGAACTCCTCGTGCCCAGGGCTGATGTGCGTCTTCCAGGGCTACTCATCCAAAGGCCTAATCCAACGTTCTGTCTTCAATCTGCAAATCTATGGGGTCCTGGGGCTCTTCTGGACCCTTAACTGGGTACTGGCCCTGGGCCAATGCGTCCTCGCTGGAGCCTTTGCCTCCTTCTACTGGGCCTTCCACAAGCCCCAGGACATCCCTACCTTCCCCTTAATCTCTGCCTTCATCCGCACACTCCGGTAAGGATGGGGCAGGGGCCTGGTCATTGTAGGCACGGGGGCCCCAGGGGTCCTGGAGCTGTCTCTGACTGCATAACACCCTCTGCAGTTACCACACTGGGTCATTGGCATTTGGAGCCCTCATCCTGACCCTTGTGCAGATAGCCCGGGTCATCTTGGAGTATATTGACCACAAGCTCAGAGGTGAGTCTGGAGTCGGAGTAGGAGTCAGGAGCTGGGGAAGGCCATTAGGGAGGGGCAGTGACCAAACATGAGCCTTCCTCGCTCCCAGGAGTGCAGAACCCTGTAGCCCGCTGCATCATGTGCTGTTTCAAGTGCTGCCTCTGGTGTCTGGAAAAATTTATCAAGTTCCTAAACCGCAATGCATACATCATGGTGAGCTACACTGCAAGCAACCCTTTGTTCTGGTGCCCTTTGGTCTAGACACCCCCATCCTGGTCCAGGCAGCTCGCCTTGGTAACTCTGACCTTTCCACCTCCCTCAGATCGCCATCTACGGGAAGAATTTCTGTGTCTCAGCCAAAAATGCGTTCATGCTACTCATGCGAAACATTGTCAGGTTAGGCTGCTCCCCCCCCGCTTTGTGGCTCCCTCCTCTGATCTCCCACCCAAGGCTGGCTTCGTGGGTGTGCTGTGCTCAGTCGGGCCCTAGACTTAGTTTAGTGCTCTGCTCTTGCCATCTTGAAACGTGAACAATTTTCATTTTGCACCAGTCCCCACAAATTACGAAGCCAATTTCACTCTCAGCATTGCCAGGCCTCTCACCCTCAACCTGCCCTAACTTCTGGCACAGGGTGGTCGTCCTGGACAAAGTCACAGACCTGCTGCTGTTCTTTGGGAAGCTGCTGGTGGTCGGAGGCGTGGGTAAGGGACCAGAAGCTGTGGGGACAGAGGGTAGGGGTGCTGGGCAGCTGAAGAGGTGGCCTCAGAGGTGCAGCACTAACCCCCAGAATTATTCCACAGGGGTCCTGTCCTTCTTTTTTTTCTCCGGTCGCATCCCGGGGCTGGGTAAAGACTTTAAGAGCCCCCACCTCAACTATTACTGGCTGCCCATCATGGTGAGTGACTCCCCTCTCTGCTGCTCCACCCCCAACTCCCCAGAGGAACCCAATAACCCCAACGGGTCATGTCTTCCAGACCTCCATCCTGGGGGCCTATGTCATCGCCAGCGGCTTCTTCAGCGTTTTCGGCATGTGTGTGGACACGCTCTTCCTCTGCTTCCGTGAGTGACACCCCCAGCCACCTGTCCCCAACCTTAAAGTACTGAGCCGTTCAAGCATTTTTTTTTTTTTTTGGAGATTTGGTGCTTCTAGAAACAATGCCTTTGTGAGCTAAACGAACCAGAGGGAGCTTCTTGTGACATCCTGAGGCCAGGCGTTTAGGGAAGAAGGAAGAGAGTGAGCCCCCAGGCCGGTAGGCTCTCCAAAGAAGGAGCATTCTGATGGAGAGGTCTCTGCTATCTTCCCTAAGAAATCTCGGGTAGAAGTTAGCCATTAGAGGCCAGGCATGGTGGCTCACGCCTGTCATGCCAGCACTTTGGGGGACCGAGGTGGGCAGATCACCCTGAGGTCAGGAGTTCGAGACCAGCCTGGCCCACATGGTGAAACCCCTCTCTACTAAAAATACAAAAAATTAGCTGGGCGCGGTGGCGGGCGCCTGTAATCCCAGCCACTTGGGAGGCTGAAGCAGGAGAATCGCTTGAACTCAGGAGGCGGAGGTTGCAGCGAGCCGAGATTGCGCTACTGCACTTCAGCTTGGGCGACAGCAAGACTCCGTCTCAAAACAAAGAAAAAAGATTAAAAAAAAAAAAGAGCCATTAGAGAGACTTCCCAGCAGGTGGCTGTAGCGGCAGGGGATTTTCTTACTCTACAGCATGCATCCATTCAGGGTTTGCCAGTCTCCTCCTAAGCGACTGACATGCATTTTTTCCGCTAATTCTTATCATCGCTCTATGCAACATAATATTCCCGACCCCACTTCACAGGAGGAAACTGAGATTACATAACCTGCCCGGGGGTAAGGGTGGTGGTGCAGCTTGGATTCCAAATCCCGCAGGCAGCTTGCCTCCCAGTCCCCGATTTCCTGGCCCCAGGGTCCGCTCTAACCGGTCTCTGTTGCGGCTCAGTGGAAGACCTGGAGCGGAACAACGGCTCCCTGGACCGGCCCTACTACATGTCCAAGAGCCTTCTAAAGATTCTGGGCAAGAAGAACGAGGCGCCCCCGGACAACAAGAAGAGGAAGAAGTGACAGCTCCGGCCCTGATCCAGGACTGCACCCCACCCCCACCGTCCAGCCATCCAACCTCACTTCGCCTTACAGGTCTCCATTTTGTGGTAAAAAAAGGTTTTAGGCCAGGCGCCGTGGCTCACGCCTGTAATCCAACACTTTGAGAGGCTGAGGCGGGCGGATCACCTGAGTCAGGAGTTCGAGACCAGCCTGGCCAACATGGTGAAACCTCCGTCTCTATTAAAAATACAAAAATTAGCCGAGAGTGGTGGCATGCACCTGTCATCCCAGCTACTCGGGAGGCTGAGGCAGGAGAATCGCTTGAACCCGGGAGGCAGAGGTTGCAGTGAGCCGAGATCGCGCCACTGCACTCCAACCTGGGTGACAGACTCTGTCTCCAAAACAAAACAAACAAACAAAAAGATTTTATTAAAGATATTTTGTTAACTCAGTAAATCTGTGACTCATTCTCTCCACGACGACAGGCGGCCTTTTTTTTTCCGCGCCCGGCTCTTTAAAATCGGCCCCGCCCCTGTGACGTGTCCTGGTGCCGCGGCCAATCAAAAAGCCCAATAAGGATGGTGCCAGTCCCTTCTTCACCCCAGCCAGTCCGCTTCCCGTTCGGGTCACGCGCTCCGGGCCTCCAAGAGGGCCTCCAAGAGGGCCAATCGGAAGGGCAAGCTTCGAGATGCTGCGTGATCACGTGGGAGGAGATGAGCTACTTGAAGACCAATTAGAGTCCGGGAAGCGCGGCGGGGCCTCCAGACCGGGGCGGGCTTAAGGGTGACATCTGCGCTTTAAAGGGTCCGGGTCAGCTGACTCCCGACTCTGTGGAGTCTAGCTGCCAGGGTCGCGGCAGCTGCGGGGAGAGATGACTGGGGAGCGACCCAGCACGGCGCTCCCGGACAGACGCTGGGGGCCGCGGATTCTGGGCTTCTGGGGAGGCTGTAGGGTTTGGGTGTTTGCCGCGATCTTCCTGCTGCTGTCTCTGGCAGCCTCCTGGTCCAAGGCTGAGAACGACTTCGGTCTGGTGAGTCACCCTTTGCATAGCCCCATCCCCGACCCGCGCAGGTGATCGACACCTAGTGTCCCCCGGAACGCGGGCGGCTGAGCCGACTTTCCGCGACAGGACCCTTTTCTTTCTCCCAGACCCCGTTTCCTCCTACCGCTCCCAGCCCCTCTCCCTCTCCGGGTCCCCGTCCTTCTCCTCATTCGAGCCCCTTCCTCTTTTGGGGTCCCCTTCCCTCCCTGAAGGCGCCTTCTCCTTTCGTAGACCCTCCCCTGCTCCGAGCCTCCAGCTTCGCTCCAAACTCCCCTTCGTGTTCCTCTTTCTTGTTCTGGGACCCCATCCCCTACTCGGGATCCCCATTAGATCCTCCCTCTCCCATCGGAACGTGGGTTCCTAAAACCCCCAAGACAAGTTTGTCTTTGTTGACCCTTCCTCCTCCCATGACAGGTGCAGCCGCTGGTGACCATGGAGCAACTGCTGTGGGTGAGCGGGAGACAGATCGGCTCAGTGGACACCTTCCGCATCCCGCTCATCACAGCCACTCCGCGGGGCACTCTTCTCGCCTTTGCTGAGGCGAGGAAAATGTCCTCATCCGATGAGGGGGCCAAGTTCATCGCCCTGCGGAGGTCCATGGACCAGGGTATAAAGATGTCTGGGTGAAAGAGCCGGTGCTAGGTTGGATGGGTGGGCAGCCCAATGAGCCCAAGGGCCCTGAGGATAGGGGAACTTAGAGGGTTGGTTGCCTGAGTCCCTGAGGGGTAGAGGGAACCCGAGAAGGGCAAGTGTCTAGGACAGTGATCTGGAAATTGGGATCACCAAGGAGTTGGACATTCACTTAGCAAACATTTATTGGGTACTATATACCTATACCAGGCACTATTTTAGGTTTCATGAATATAGCCACGAACAAAACAGATCAAAAATCTCTGCCCTCAGGATTTAAATTGTACTGGAAGGAGACAGACAAGCATAATAAACAAGTAAACTTTTTTGTCTGTTGCAAGGTGATAAATGCAATGGAGAAAAATAAAACAGGACAAGAGGTATAGATAGTGCAAGTGTTGGATTGCACCCTGGGACCATCGGAAGGCCTGAGGTCCCTAGCAGAAGGTGGGAAATTAACGGGAAGTGGTAGAAAGGGTACCTGCAGAGTGCTCACTCTGGGTTTCTTCCTCCAATTTTTTTCAGGCAGCACATGGTCTCCTACAGCGTTCATTGTCAATGATGGGGATGTCCCCGATGGGCTGAACCTTGGGGCAGTAGTGAGCGATGTTGAGACAGGAGTAGTATTTCTTTTCTACTCCCTTTGTGCTCACAAGGCCGGCTGCCAGGTGGCCTCTACCATGTTGGTATGGAGCAAGGATGATGGTGTTTCCTGGAGCACACCCCGGAATCTCTCCCTGGATATTGGCACTGAAGTGTTTGCCCCTGGACCGGGCTCTGGTATTCAGGTCTCTGTCCTAGGAGATAGGTGGAGGGGGCTGCCTTGTGGAGAGTCTGAGGGATACCCCCAAATGGACTCCTTTCCAAGGGGAAGATTCTCTGAAGTCAGATTTTCTGGCTTGGGTGGGATTCCTTGAAAGACAGGGCATCCTGGTAGGAACACATTATCAGGAGAAGAGGGAACTCTGCCATTGGCTTCCCATTTGGCATTGTCAACAGGACTGCGTTAGTCCATGCAATACCCTCATGCAAAGTAGAAAAAGGCACTGCCTCTTTGGACAGACACAAGCCTGTGCCAGGGTGCACAGCTTGGCGAGTGAGCACAGGTTGGGTTTAAGCTCTCATGCACCCTGTGGCTGGGCCCCTGGTGCACATGTCCAGCTGTACACCCTGGGAGAGCTTCTTAATTCAAACAGGGTGTGTATTTATGGGATCTGACTGGAACCCTCAGTGAGCAAGGGCTGAACTCAAGGGGACCATACATGTGATTGCATTTGGGAAGTGGTGGGTTCTCTGTCCCTGCCTCTGAGCCCCTAGAGTCTCCTTCTGTGACACCCAGTTCCCTTTCCCACAGAAACAGCGGGAGCCACGGAAGGGCCGCCTCATCGTGTGTGGCCATGGGACGCTGGAGCGGGACGGAGTCTTCTGTCTCCTCAGCGATGATCATGGTGCCTCCTGGCGCTACGGAAGTGGGGTCAGCGGCATCCCCTACGGTCAGCCCAAGCAGGAAAATGATTTCAATCCTGATGAATGCCAGGTCAGGAGTCCATGAGATGTTCCCTACCCATTTGACCCTCCCTGCCCTCCAGAACATCATTTCACGCACAGACCCAGGGTCTGACTGCTCCACTCAGTGCCACACACCCTTGCTCCCCTCGGGGACAGGGCATTTTCCCTGTTCCCTCCCTGAGGTCCTGTCCTCTCCCCTCAGCCCTATGAGCTCCCAGATGGCTCAGTCGTCATCAATGCCCGAAACCAGAACAACTACCACTGCCACTGCCGAATTGTCCTCCGCAGCTATGATGCCTGTGATACACTAAGGCCCCGTGATGTGACCTTCGACCCTGAGCTCGTGGACCCTGTGGTAGCTGCAGGAGCTGTAGTCACCAGCTCCGGCATTGTCTTCTTCTCCAACCCAGCACATCCAGAGTTCCGTGAGTGCCTCATGGGTGGGGTCAGCAGGGAGAGCCCTGTGTCTAGACAAGGCCTGGGCAGAGACCCTCTCTCCCTGACTCTCCTGCTCTCCCCAGGAGTGAACCTGACCCTGCGATGGAGCTTCAGCAATGGTACCTCATGGCGGAAAGAGACAGTCCAGCTATGGCCAGGCCCCAGTGGCTATTCATCCCTGGCAACCCTGGAGGGCAGCATGGATGGAGAGGAGCAGGCCCCCCAGCTCTACGTCCTGTATGAGAAAGGCCGGAACCACTACACAGAGAGCATCTCCGTGGCCAAAATCAGTGTCTATGGGACACTCTGAGCTGTGCCACTGCCACAGGGGTATTCTGCCTTCAGGACTCTGCCTTCAGGAACACGGGTCTGTAGAGGGTCTGCTGGAGACGCCTGAAAGACAGTTCCATCTTCCTTTAGACTCCAGCCTTGGCAAAATCACCTTCCCTTTACCAGGGAAATCACTTCCTTTAGGACTGAAAGCTAGGCGTCCTCTCCCACAAAAAAGTCCTGCCCTCATCTGAGAATACTGTCTTTCCATATGGCTAAGTGTGGCCCCACCACCCTCTCTGCCCTCCCGGGACATTGATTGGTCCTGTCTTGGGCAGGTCTAGTGAGCTGTAGAATTGAATCAATGTGAACTCAGGGAACTGGGGAAGGCTGAGCCTCCTCTTTGGTGTTGCGGTAAGATAACCGACAGGGCTGGTGAAAGTCCCCAGATGGCAGGATATTTGGTTTCAGAGTAAGGACTAGGTGCACCACCATGACTGACTATCAATCAAAATGTTTGTAACTTAAAATTTTTAATGAAGGATAATGAATATTTGTAGAGTCTCTATGGTTCTGTCAATGCACATCTTCGTGTCTGTTTTCCTCATGTATCCTTGTGAGCCTGGGTGAGTTCTGGGGAGAGACCTGATGTGCGTACTGCCTGTGAAAATCTGACTTTGGCAAATCAAATCCTCTTTTCCTTTTGACATGCCCTCTTTTTTTGTTGTTGCTTTTTTTGAGACAGGGCTCGCTCTGTCACCCAGGCTGGAGTGCAGTTGCACAATCACGGCTCACTGAAGCCTCAACCTCCTGGGCTCAAGTGATCCTCACGTCTCAGCCTCCGGAGTAGTTGGGACTACAGGTCAGTGACACCATGCCTGGTTAATTTTTTTAATTTTTATTTTCAGTAGAGACAAGGTTGCGCTATGTTGCCCAGGCTGGTATGGAACTCCTGTGCTTAAGCAATCCTCATGCCTCAGCTTCCCAAAGTGCTGAGGTTACAGCTATGAGCCACCGCACCCAGCCTACATTCCTTCTTATCACCGAGAAACAGGTTGATCTTCACAGGTGTAATGAGTATGAAGGGAGTGCCATAAGATATTTTTTATTTTTTATTTATTTATTTTTTAATTTAATTTTTTTTTTTTTGAGATGGAGTCTTGCTCTGGCACCCAGGCTAGAGTGCAGTGGTGCGATCTCGGCTCACTGCAACCTCTGCCTCCCAGGTTCAAGCGATTCTTCTGCCTCAGCTTCCCGAATAGCTGGGATTACAGGTGCCCACCACCACACCCGGCTAATTTTTGTATTTTTAGTAGAGACGGAGTTTCACCATGTTGGCCAGGCTGGTCTCAAACTCCTGGCCTCAGGTGATCCACCCGCCTCGGCCTCCCAAAGTGTTGTGATTACAAGCATGAGCCATGGTGCCGGCGGGCTGATTTTTTTAATTTTTAGTAGAGACAAAGTCTCACTATATTGCCTAGGTTGGTCTCAAACTGCTGAGCTCAAGCAATCTGCCGGCCATGTTCTCTCAAAGTGCTGGGATTACAGGCTTGAGCCCCTGCACCCAGCCTGTAAGATATTTTAAAATCCACACTTGGCCAAGCGTGGTGGCTCACACATATAATCCCAGCACTTTGGGAGGCCAAGGTGGGCGGATCACAAGGTCAGGAGTTCGAGACCAGCCTGGCCAATATGGTGAAATCCCATCTCTACTAAAAATACAAAAACTAGCCAGGCGTGTTGGCTTACACTTATAGTCCCAGCTACTCAGGTGGCTGAGGCAGGAGAATCACTTGAACCAGGAGGCGGAGTTTGCAGTGAGCTGAGATCACAGCACTGCACACCAGCCTCGGCAACAGAGTGAGACTCCGTCTGAAAAAAAAAAAATCCACGCTGTTTTATATTTCTAACATGGGGTAGGATACCATCCTCCATGAAATAGGGTGCAAGTGTGTGAAATGCAGATGGGAATCCTGTCCCAGCTAGCCTGACAGAGAAGTGAGCACTTCCTATGGCAAATTATGTAAGAAAATATTCCCCAGGCAGATGCTTATGAAAAGAATCTGTTCAGCCTGCAGGTAAGTGGGAGAGCCCTTGCTCAAAAAAAAAAAGAAAAAGAAATAGTGGAAGACAAAAAGGAAAGGACACTATGAATGTCTGACCCATGAACTACTACCTGTTAGAAACAGAAGTGCTGGGAGGCTTGAGAGACAGACACTACCTTCCTGGCTAGGTGTGGTGGCTCAGATCTGTAATGCTAGCACTTCGGGAGACCAAGGCAGGATGATCAAATTAAAGGGCATCCTGGGCAACATGGCAATACCCCATGTCTAAAAAATTTAAAAATTAGCCAAGCATGGTAACGCACACCTATAGTCCTAGCTACATGGGAGGATGGCTTGATCTCTTTGACCCCAGGAGTTCGAGGCAGTAGTGAGCTATGATTGCACCACTGCACACCAACCTAGGTGACAGAGTGAGACCTCATCTCCAAAAAACCAAACCAAAACAAAAAACCTTCAAGAAAGAAAAAAAGCTTGACCTTCCCTCCCTCACTCTTTACAGACCCATGGAATCTGAAGCTCTGGTGTTGGAGCCACCAGGCATTAACAAGCCTTCTGGGTGATTCGTAATACGTTTAAGTTTGAAAACCAGGGTCAGAACTTTTAAACAAGTGCAAGTGTCCAGCTAAAATGAATTATATGTATGTCAAAGTTGCAGAAATAGTTAAAGAACCTTTTTTTTCCAGCTTTTTTTTTTTCTTTTAATACACAGGGAAGGGTCAGGTGCAGTGGCTCACGCCTGTAATCCCAGCACTTTGGGAGGCCGAGGTGGGCGGATCACAAGGTCAGGGGTTCTAGACCAGCCTGGCCAACATGGTAAAACCCCATCTCTACTAAAAATACAAATATTAGCCATATGTGGTGGCACACGCCTGTAGTCCCAGCTACTCGGGAGCCTGAGGCAGGAGACTCACTTGAACCTGGGAGGCAGAGGTTGCAGTGAGCCGAGATTATGCCACTGCCCTCCAGCCTGGGCGACAGAGCAAGACTTCATCTTAAAAAAAAAAAAAATACACAGGAAAGATTGGGACAAGTGGCAGGAGACTGAAAGGGGAAAGAGCTTGTTTGTACTAATGGGACAAAGTGGGCCGACTCTGGGCACACTGCTTATGAGTTAGCTCTACTCTGTGAGGAAATTTTTTTTTTTTTTTTGAGACGGAGTCTTGCTCTGTTGCCCAGGCTGGAGTGCAGTGGCGCAATCTTGGCTCCCCGCAACCTCTGCCTCGCTGGTTCAAGCAATTCCCCTGCCTCAGCCTCCTAAGTAGCTGGGATTACAGGCGCCTGCCACCACGCTCGGCTAATTTTTTGGTATTTTTAGTAGAGACCCGGTTTCACCATGTTGGCCAGACTGGTCTCGAACTCCTGACCTCAGGCAATACGCCCGCCTCGGCCTCCCAAAGTGCCGGGATTACAGGTGTGAGCCACCCCACCCGGCCAAGGAAATATTTAAAAAATAAAATAAAATAAGTTATTTAAAAATTGGGGCAAGTTGGCTGGGCACGGTGGCTCACGCCTGTAATCCTAGCACTTTGGGAGGCTGAGGAAGGGGGATCACTTGAGGTCAGGAGTTCAAGACCAGTCTGGCCAACATGGTGAAACACTGTCTCTACTAAAAATTCAAAAAATTAGCCAGGCATTGTGGCAGGCACCTACAATCCCAGCTACTCAGGAGACTAAGGCAGGAGAATCGCTTGAACCTGGGAGACGGAGATTGCAGTGAGTTGAAATCATGCCACTGCACTCCAGCCTGGGCTATGGAGCGAGACTCTCCCTCAAAAAAAAAAAAATCGGGGTAAGTGTTATCAATCTAAAAAATAATAATTAAAAAGTTCAGAATCTAGGCCAGGCGCTGTGGCTCACACCTATAATCCCAGCACTTTGGGAGGCAGAGGCAAGCGAATCACCTGAAGTCAGGAGTTCAAGACCATCCTGGTCAACATGACGAAACCCCGTCTCTACCAAAAATACAAAAATTAGCTGGGTGTTGTGGGTCGCGCCTGTAGTCCCAGCTATTCAGGAGACTGAGGAAGGAGAATCGCTTGAACCCGGGAGCGAGAGGTTACAGTGGGCCAAGATCATACCATTGCATTCCAGTCTGGGAGACACAGCGAGACTGTCTTAAACAAACGAACAAAAGCTGAGAATCTAGTGTTGTTGCTTTTTACAGATGGAGTCTTGCCATGTTGCCCAGGTTAGATTCAGACTGAAGTTCAAGGGATCCTCCTGCCTCAGCCTCCTAGAGTAGATAGAGTTGGGACTGCAGGCACATACCACTGTACCAGGCTTAGAATCTAGTTTAAAGAGTTTATCCACCGGCTCTCCCTCCCTCTCCCTCTGTCTCCCTCTCCCCACGGTCTCCCTCTCATGCGGAGCCGAAGCTGGACTGTACTGCTGCCATCTCGGCTCACTGCAACCTCCCTGCCTGATTCTCCTGCCTCAGCCTGCCCAGTGCCTGCCATTGCAGGCACGCGCCGCCATGCCTGACTGGTTTTGGTGGAGACGGGGTTTCGCTGTGTTGGCCGGGCAGGTCTCCAGCCCCTAACCGCGAGTGATCCCGCCAACCTCAGCCTCCCGAGGTGCCGGGATTGCAGACGGAGTCTCGTTCACTCAGTGCTCAATGGTGCCCAGGCTGGAGTGCAGTGGCGTGATCTCGGCTCACTACAACCTACACCTCCCAGCCGCCTGCCTTGGCCTCCCAAAGTGCCGAGATTGCAGCCTCTGCCCGGCCGCCACCCCGTCTGGGAAGTGAGGAGCGTCTCTGCCTGGCCGCCCATCGTCTGGGATGTGAGGAGCCCCTCTGCCTGGCTGCCCAGTCTGGAAAGTGAGGAGCGTCTCCGCCCGGCCGCCATCCCATCTAGGAAGTGAGGAGCGCCTCTTCCCAGCCGCCATCACATCTAGGAAGTGAGGAGCGTCTCTGCCCGGCCGCCCATCGTCTGAGATGTGGGGAGCGCCTCTGCCCCGCCGCCCCATCTGGGATGTGAGGAGTGCCTCTGCCCGGCCGAGACCCCGTCTGGGAGGTGAGGAGCGTCTCTGCCCGGCCGCCCCGTCTGAGAAGTGAGGAGACCCTCTGCCTGGCAACCACCCCGTCTGAGAAGTGAGGAGCCCCTCCGCCCGGCAACTGCCCCGTCTGAGAAGTGAGGAGCCTCTCCGCCCCGCAGCCACCCCATCTGGGAAGTGAGGAGCATCTCCGCCCGGCAGCCACCCCGTCCGGGAGGGAGGTGGGGGGGGTCAACCCCCCGCCCGGCCAGCCGCCCCATCTGGGAGGGAGGTGGGGGGTCAGCCCCCCCGACCGGCCAGCCGTGCCATCCGGGAGGGAGGTGGGGGGGTCAGCCCCCCACCTGGCCAGCCGTGCCGTCCGGGAGGGAGGTGGGGGGGTCAGCCCCCCGCCCGGCCAGCCGCCCCGTCCGGGAGGTGAGGGGTGCCTCTGCCCGGCCACCCCTACTGGGAAGTGAGGAGCCCCTCAGCCCGGCCAGCCACCCCGTCCGGGAGGGAGATGGGGGGGTCAGCCCCCCCACCCGGCCAGCCGCCCGGTCCGGGAGGGAGGTGGGGGGGTCAGCCCCCCGCCTGGCCAGCCGCCCTGTCCGGGAGGGAGGTGGGGGGGTCAGCCCTCCGCCCGGCCAGCCGCCCCGTCTGGGAGGTGAGGGGCGCCTCTGCCCGGCCGCCCCTACTGGGAAGTGAGGAGCCCCTCTGCCCGGCCAGCCGCCCCGTCCGGGAGGGAGGTGGGGGTGTCAGCCCCCCGCCCGGCCAGCCGCCCCGTCCGGGAGGGAGGTGGGGGGGGTCAGCCCCCCCGCCCGGCCAGCCGCCCCGTCCGGGAGGTGAGGGGCGCCTCTGCCCGGCCGCCCCTACTGGGAAGTGAGGAGCCCCTCTGCGCGGCCACCACCCCGTCTGGGAGGTGTGCCCAACAGCTCATTGAGAACGGGCCAGGATGACAATGGCGGCTTTGTGGAATAGAAAGGCAGGAAAGGTGGGGAAAAGATTGAGAAATCGGATGGTTGCCGTGTCTGTGTAGAAAGAAGTAGACATGGGAGACTTTTCATTTTGTTCTGCACTAAGAAAAATTCCTCTGCCTTGGGATCCTGTTGATCTGTGACCTTACCCCCAACCCTGTGCTCTCTGAAACATGTGCTGTGTCCACTCAGGGTTAAATGGATTAAGGGCGGTGCAAGATGTGCTTTGTTAAACAGATGCTTGAAGGCAGGGTGCTCGTTGGGAGTCATCACCAATCCCTAATCTCAAGTAATCAGGGACACAAACACTGCGGAAGGCCGCAGGGTCCTCTGCCTAGGAAAACCAGAGACCTTTGTTCACTTGTTTATCTGCTGACCTTCCCTCCACTATTGTCCCATGACCCTGCCAAATCCCCCTCTGTGAGAAACACCCAAGAATTATCAATAAAAAAATAAATTTAAAAAAAAAAAAAAAAAAAAAAAAGAGTTTATCCAACTGCAAATGTTGAGGAAGTGGCCCGTCTAGAGCTGAAGATTCCAAAGAATATTAGTCTATGTTCCAAAAGTGTAGAAGTTTGGAATCGCTTATATAAACAGAAAGTTTATGGAAACTTAGAATTTCAACATTGTTCTGTGTTCACAATTGGTGGGTTCTTGGTCTCATTGATTTAAAGAATGAGGCCGCAGACCCTCACGGGGAGTGTTACAGTTCTTAAATGCGGCGCCTCTGGAGTTGTTTGTTCCTCCCGGGGGGTTCGTGCTCTCGCTAGCGTCAGGAGTGAAACTGCATACCCCTGCGGTGAGTGTTACACCTCATAAAAGTAGTGTGGACCCAAAGAACAAATAGCAATAAAATTTATTGCAAAAACGGAAATAACAAACTTTCCACTCTATGGAAAATGACCAGAGCGGGATGTCACTACTCACTCAGGCAGCCTGCTTTTATTCCCTTATCTGGCCCCACCCACATCCTGCTGATTGGTCCATTTTACAGAGAGCTGATTGGTCCGTTTTACAGAGAGCTGATTGGTCCATTTTGACAGGGTGCTGATTGGTGCGTTTACAATCCCTGAGCTAGACACAAAAGTTCTCCATGTCCTCACTAGATTAGCTAGATACAGTGTCGATTGGTGCATTTACAAACCCTGAGCTAGACACAGGATGCTGATTGGTATATTTACAAACCTTGAGCTAGATACAGAGTGCCGATTGGTGTATTTACAATCCCTTAGCTAGACATAAAGGTTCTCCAAGTCCCCACCACACTCAGGAGCCCAGCTGGCTTCACCCAGTGGATCCCGCACTGGGGCCGCAGGTGGAGCTGCTTGCCAGTCCTGCCCCATGCGCCTGCACTCTTCAGCCCTTGGGAGGTTGATGGGACTGGGGGCCGTGGAGCAGGGGGTGGCGCTCGTCGGGGAGGCTCTGCAGCACAGGAGCCCACGGCGGGGTTGGGGCTCAGGCATGGCGGGCTGCAGGTCCTGAGTCCTGTCCTGTGGTGAGGCAGCTAAGGCCCCGTGAGAAATCGAGCACAGCAAGCTGCTGGCCCAGGTGCTAAACCCCTCACTGCCCTGCCCGGGGCTTGTGGGCCAGCCTGCCGCTCCAAGAGCGGGGCAGCCGAGCCCACGCCCACCCGGAACTTGCGCTGGCCCACAAGCGCTGCGTGCAGCCCCGGTTCCCGCCCGCGCCTCTCCCTCCACACCTCCCCGCAAGCCGAGGGAGCCGGCTCCGGCCTCGGCCAGCCCAGAGAAGGCTCCCACGGTGCAGTGGCGGGCTGAAGGGCTCCTCAAGCGCGGCCAGAATGGGCGCCAAGGCCGAGGAGGCGCCGAGAGCCAGCAAGGGCTGCGAGGGCTGTCAGCACGCTGTCAACTCTCAGTTCTATGGTAAGGCTTATTGCATAGTTACAATGATCTGATTAGTCAATTTTTTTTTTCTTTTTTGGGGGGTGGGGGAAGGTGTTTTTTACATTCCACACTGAAGATGCAATAGTCATGGGGTCTTGGGTGCCATCTGGTCTGAGTCAGGTACAGGACAATAAAGGAGGCAGTTAATCTACAACAAAGATCAGTGATTGGAAAGGAGGTCTCATTACAGAACAAGAGCAATGAGGAGGAGAGTCTGTAAGAAGCAGAATTGCAAACATGCTACATGACTCAGTCTCCAAGGCTTAACTTCCATCTTGGCATAAACTTAGAGTCCTGAAGTTTTGTTTTCTTTTTACGGTGGACTTTGCACATCATTGCCTGGTGAGTGCCCGCTGGATCAGCAGCCAAATTCTAGCATGAAACCCTTTCCCCAACATCCCCTTTCACCTTGCATGGCCCTCCTTCCCTTCACACATTGATCCCCACTCCCAGCCCCTTTGCTTAGGATCAAACCAGCTCAAGCTCTCTCTGTCTTCTCAGCTGTCCCTTAAATAAGGGAAAGAGACAGTAACAATGAACACTGACCTGAACAGCAAATACCAGGGACCAGGGACCATGGATACTTTTTTGCTAATGTAATCCTTCCAACCAAAAGTCATGACAAGGAGGGAATAGGAAAAAGTATTTTTTTTTTTTTTTGAGACAGGGTCTTACTCTGTCACCCAGGCTGGAGTGCAGTAGCATGATCACAGCTCACTGCAACCTTGACCACCTGGGTTCAAGCAATCTTCCCACCTCAGCCTCCTGAGTAGCTGGGACTACAGGCACTTGCCACCAAGCCCAGCTAATATTTTCATTTTTGTAGAAACAGGGTCCCACTATGTTGCCCAGGCTGGTCTTAAACTCCTGGGCTCAAGTGATCCTTGACCACCCCACCCGCTCGGCCTCCCAAAGTGCTAGAGTTACAGGCCTGCCCACCCATAGCCATCTAATAATTTTTGCCCAAGAAAGGATTGGGAAGGAAGATCAAAGCAATGGCTTGGACATCTTTCCAACAACAACAACAACAACAACAAAACCACAACAGACTCAAATTACCATAGTAGAAGTATAGGTCTTCCTTTTCCTAATACTCTGGGATTTTTTTTTTTTTTTGAGACAGAGTCTTGCTCTGTTGCCCAGGCAGGCTGGAGTGCAGTGGCGTGATCTCAACTCACTGCAACCTCCGTGTCCCAGGTTCAAGTGATTCTCCTGCCTCAGCCTCCTGAGTATTTGGGATTATAGGTGCCCACCACCACACCTGGCTAATTTTTTGTATTTTTAGTAGAGATGGGTTTTCACCATGTTGACCAGGCTGGTCTCTACTAAAAATACAAAAATTAGCTGGGTGTGGTGGCATGCCCCTGTAGTCTCAGCTACTCGGGAGGCTGAGGCAGAAGAATCGCTTGAACCTGGGAGGCAGAGGTTGCAGTAAGCCGAGATCATGCCACTGCACTCCAGCCTGGTGACACAGTGAGACTCTGTCCCAAAAAAAAAAAAAAAAGAGGCCGGGCGCGGTGGCTCATGTCTGTAATCCCAGCATTTTGGGAGGCCAAGGCAGGCGAATCACCTGAGGTCAGGAGTTCAAGACCAGCCTCACCAACATGGAGAAACCCAGTCTCTACTAAAAATACAAAATTAGGCTGGGCACAGTGGCTCACGCCACCCAGCACTTTGGGGAGGCCAAGGCGGGCGGATCACCTGAGGTCAGGAGTTCAAGACCAGCCTGGCCAACATGGTGAAACCCCCGTCTCTACTAAAAATACAAAAATTAGCCAGGCGTGGTAGTGCATGCCTGTAATGCCAGCTACTGAGGAGGCTGAGGCAGGAGAATCGCTTGAACCCGAGAGGGGAAGGCTGAAGTGAGCCGAGATCACGCCACTGCACTCCAGCCTCGGCAACAAGAGCGAGACTCTGTCTCAAAAAAAAAAAAAAAAAAAAAAAGCTGGCCAGAGGCGGTAATTACATGCCTGTAATCCCAGTCCCAGTACTTTGGAAGGCCAAGACGGGCAGATCATTTGAGCCCAGGAGTTTGAGACCAGCCTGGGCAACATGGCAAGACCTCATCTCTACAAAAAATTTAAAAATTAGCTGGGGCAGTGGCCCACACCTGTAGTTTCAGCTACATGGGAAGCTGAGGTGAGAGGGTCACTTGAGCCCAGGAGGTAGAGGCTGTAGTGCACCAAGACCGCACCACTGCCCTCAAACCTGGGCGACAGGGCAAGAAACTTGTCTCAAAAACAAACAAATAAGAAACCCACAGCACATTAGGTCAAATACTTTTATAAAAAATTTTTTTAGGCCGGGCACGGTGGCTCATGCCTGTAATCCCAGCACTTTGGGAGGCCAAGGCGGGCGGATCACAAGGTCAGGAGATCCAGACCTCCTGGCTAACACGGTGAAACACTGTCTCTACTAAAAATACAAAATATTAGCCGGGCGTGGTGGCGGGAGCCTGTAGTCCCAGCTACTTGGGAAGCTGAAGCAGGAGAATGGAGTGAACCTGGAAGTCAGAGCTTGCAGTGAGCTGAGATGGTGCCACTGCACTCCAGCCTGGGAAACAGAGCAAGACTCTGTCTGAAGAAAAAAAAAATTAGAGTGAAAAAATAAAAAGGTTGATGAGTCTGTGTTTCACGAAAAACTCTCCAAACTCCCAAACTGTTTTAAACTTTTTCCTCCTCTACTCTCTCACTCTCTCCCCCCAGCCACACTCACACACACACTTTTTTTTTTTTTTTTTTTTGAGACAGAGTCTCGCTCTGTCACCCAGGCTAGAGTGCAGTGGCATGATCTCGGCTCACTGCAACCTCCGACTCCCAGATTCAAGTAATTCTCCTGCCTCAGATTCTCAAGAGTAGCTGGGATTACAGGTGTTCACCACCACACCCGGCTAATTTTTGTATTTTTAGTAGCGATGGGGTTTCTCCATGTTGGCCAGGCTGGTCTCAAACTCCTGACCTCAGGTGATCCACCTGCCTCCGCCTCCCAAAGTGCTGGGATTACAGCCGTGAGCCACTGTGCTCAACAACACACTTCTTTTAAAGACAGGGTCTCACTCTGTCACCCAGCCTGGAGTGCAGTACTGCAATCATAGCTCACTTCAGCCTTGACCTCCCAGGCTCAAGCAATCCTCCCACCTCAGCCCCATGAGTGGTTGGAACCACAGGTGTGTGCCACCACACCTGCTAATTTTTGTATTTTTTGAAGACACGAGGTCTCGACATGTTGCCCAGGCTGGTCTTGAACTCCTGGGCTCAAGCAATCCACCAACCTCGGCCTTCCAAAGTGCTGGGACTACAGGTGTGAGCCATGGTAACTGGCCTGAATATTAAGTGCTATTAGGGAATTAAATTTGCTTTTCTCAGGTATAATAGTATTGTGAATATGCAGATGAACATCCTTATTTTTTGGAGATGCATACTCAAATACAAAGGGATAAAATGTCATAATCTCTTTAATATACTTTGAAATGATCCTACCAAATATAAGTACATACAGATGCTAATATCATTGTTTTTGCCAATTTTCTTTTTTCTTCCTTTTAGATACAGGGTCTTGGTCTGTCACACAGGCCGGAGAGCAGTGAGTGGAACAATCATGGCTCTGTAGCCTCGACCTTCTGGGCTCAAGTGATCCTTCCATCTCAGCCTCCCAAGTAGCTGGGACTACAGGTGCTTGGGAGTACACCTAATTTTTTAATTTTGTAGAGAAGTGGTCTCCGCCCAGGCTGGCCTCAAACTCCTGCACTCCAGCAATCCTCCTGCCTTGACCTCCCAAAGTACTGGGATTACAGACATTAGCCACCACGCCCAACCAAAACTTTTAAAAGTTTTTTTTTTGTTTTATAACAGTTCCTCTGCCTCTTTTAGAGGCAATCAACCCAGTGTGGAGCACAGGTATTCCCTGGGTGGCACTAGGAGATGGGACTTGCTCCCTGTTTCAAGGTGGTACCAGCTAATGCTGCAAGGCCCTTTGAAGAAGGCTCCCCCTTCCCAGTTTATTATCTGCCATCAGTAAATAACTGGGGATTATCAGCTGACACCTTTATCTTCACTACATTCTTTAGAATTTAAGACAGGCAACAGCCAGCCTAGAATGTGACCCACTTCCACCTGAGGTTCACCTGACTGGAGGCAATAAAGTTTAACATTTCAAGAGTCAGCAGGTACTTTAACCCTTAGGATAATTTGTTTCTTTATATAGTCTTTGGAAAATAACACAAGAATTAAAAAAAAAAAAAAAAAAAACAGCCAGGCTTGGTGGCTCAGGAGGCAGAGGCTGCAGTGAGCCAAGATGGCTCCAGTGCACTACAGCCTGGACAACACAGTGAGACCCTGTCCACCCCACTCCCCCCCAAAAAAAGTCATGGGAAAGTAGAATGCTAATGAAAAGAAAGTACTACAATCAACAAACTAACAGATGGGCCTGAGATGCTAAAAACCAGGTACCCCTGTACGCCATTGGGCAGCAGAGCTCATGATGGCTCTGTGGCTGTTCTGGCTGCAGGTAACAAATCCATGTAACAAACAAAGTAGGCTGGGTGCAGTGGCTCACGCCTGTAATCCCAGCACTTTGGGAGGGCGAGGCAGGTGAATCACAAGGTCAGGAGTTCAAGACCAACCTGACCAACACGGTGAAACCTTGTCTCTACTAAAAATACAAAAATTATCCAGACGTGGTGGCACCACCTGTAATCCCAGCTACTCAGGAGGCTGAGTCAGGAGCATCGCTTGAACCTGGG
Source organism: Homo sapiens (assembly GCF_000001405.40). Taxonomy (NCBI): domain Eukaryota; kingdom Metazoa; phylum Chordata; class Mammalia; order Primates; family Hominidae; genus Homo; species Homo sapiens. The sequence goes on along the minus strand of NT_167245.2, from coordinate 3,094,884 downwards.
AGGCGTAGGTTGCAGTGAGCTGAGATCATGCCACTGCACTCCAGCCTGGGCAACAGAGCAAGACTCCCATCTCAAAAACAAAAACAAAGCAGCTCTGGAGTTGGAGTATCTCATTCCATCCTTCATGTTTCAAAACTTCCTTTTCATATCACCTCTGATTTCTCTGCTCCACATTATGGATTATTTCTCCCTCCAACTCACTAATTCTTCATTTAGTTGGTCTGCTATTTATCTTGTTTATTGTGTATCTTTGTTGTTTTTTTTGGTTTTTATTTTTAGAGATGGTGTCTTGCAATATTACCCAGGCTGGTCTCGAACTCCTGGGCTCAGGTGATCCTCCCACCTTGGCCTCCCAAAGTGCTGGGATTACAGGCATGAGTCACCATACCCAGCCCCCAAGCTATGTTTTTAAGATACTAAGAAATATTTCAGACATGCAAAAATAAGAAATGAGAGGCCAGGCACATTACATATGCTTACATACTACCAGTATGTAAACATATATTAATGTTACATACAACTAATATGTAAACATTACGTACCACTAGTTGTTGGTTTTGTTTTTTTTGAGACAGAGTCTCATGCTTTTGCCCAGGCTGGAGTGCAGGGGTTCAATCTTGGCTCACTGCAACCTCCACCTCCTGGGTTCAAGCAATTCTCATGCCTCAGCCATCAGAGTATCTGGGATTACAGGTGTGCACCACCACACTTGGCTAATTTTTGTATTTTTAGTAGAGACAGGGTTTCGCCATGTTGACCAGGTTGGTCTCAAACTCCTGGCCTCAAGTGATCCACCTGCTTCGGCCTCCCAAAGCGCTGGAATTACAGGCATGAGACACTGCACCCAGCCCCAAAAGTTTTTAAGGTTATTTCTGGGCTCTAGAATTTCCTCACAACCCAAAAGATGCAAATTTCATCCATGAGTTCTGTTGGTGCAGGTTTGGGTGTACCCCACAAAGCCTGCGGCTGTGACTCTGGCCAATGGGTAGAAATTTTACTCCTCGAACACTGACAAAAGAGCTCCAAGCAGCTCCTGGGTTTCTGTAGCATGGCTGAAGCAGAGTGGAAATGGGGTTTCACCATGTTGGCCAGGCTGGTCCCCAACCCCTAACCTCAGGTGTAGAAGATGAGGTCAGAAAGTTGACAGAGCTAGACTGGGAGGACCTTGTTGGGTGGCCCTTGTAAGATGGAGACTTTTACTCTGAGTGAAATGGCAGCTGTTACAGGATCTTCAGAAGAGGGGAGACATGACCTGACTCCTGATTTGGAAGGAACCTTCTGGCTGCTGTGTGGAGAGAGCCTGTAACGGGCAAAAGTGGAAGCCAGGAGACCAGGTAGGAGACAGTTGCAGTTGTCTAGGTGAGAGCCAATGGTGGCTCCCACCAGGATGGAGCAGCAGTAAAGGTGTGAGACACAGATCCTCGTGTCATTTCTAAGATACAGACAGTATGATTTGCTGACAAATTAGATGTAGCATGTGAGAACAGGAGAGCAGTCAGGCAGATTCCAAGGGTCTAGCCTAAGCAACTGGCAGGTAGAGGTGTCACCTGGAGGGCCAGCACACTGGCCAGTGGGTAAGGATTCCAAGGATTCTTGTCTCCCATTTCTGTGGGGAGACAGGCTGAGGCCAAGCCTTAGGAGGCTCACTGCCTACAGTAGCTGAAGTAGCAGGCTAGCCGCTATTAGAGTAACTGCAAGCTGGGGAGTTCAGCCTGGGAGGATGGGAAGGAGGACTGTTTATTACTGAAGTTGCTCCACTCCTGGTATGGAAATGGGGCCTAAAGAAATGAGGAAAATAGGCCGGCGGTGGCTCACGCCTGTAATCCCAGCACTTTGGGAGGCCAAGGCGGGTGGATCACGAGGTCAGGAGATCGAGACCATCCTGGCTAACACGGTGAAACCCCGTCTCTACTAAATATACAAAAAATTAGCCGGGTGTAGTGGTGGACGCCTGTATTCCCAGCTAATCGGGAGGCTGAGGCAGGAGAATGGCGTGAACCCGGGAGGCGGAGCTTGCAGTGAGCCGAGATCGCGCCACTGCACTCCAGCCTGGGCGACAGAGCGAGACTCCGTCTCAAAAAAAAAAAAAAAGAAATGAGGAAAATAGCATTTTGGGGTTGAGGTCTTTCAGCATCACCACTGTGTGAGAAAAGAAGTTCACGTGACCATCTTACCATGGCTGTAGCTCAGTCTTATACCCCAAACCTGGGATTAGCACCCACCACACAGGGGAGGACTTGAACCATACAAAGGGCAGGGGAATGCAGAAGAGACCCTTGGGGACAAGAAATGAAACCAACAAAGCTGAGTATGGTGGCATATGCCTGTTGCCCCAGCTACTGAGGAAGCTGAGGCGGGAGGATCACTTCAGCCCAGGAGTTCAAGTCAGACCTGGGCAACAGAGCATGACTCTACCTCTTCATTTATTTATTTAGAGATAAGGCTCACTCTGTTGCCCAGATTGGAGTGCAGTGGCACAATCATGGCTCACTGCAGCCTCAACTTCCAGGGCTCAAGCAATTCTCCCATCTCAGCCTCCCAAGTAGCTGAACCACGGCATGCCATCACAACCGGCTAATTTTTAAAATTTTTTGTAGGAACTGGATTTCACCGTGTTGCCCAGGCAGACTGGTCTCAAACTCCTGGGTTCAAGAGATCTGCCCACCATGGCCTCCCACAGTGCTGGGGTTGCAGGTGTGAGCCACCGCACTATGCTTCTTTTTTGTTAGAGACGGGATAGGCCGGGCTTGGTGGCTCAAGCTTGTAATCTCAGCATTTGGGGAGGCCAAAGCAGGTAGATCATTTGATTTCAGGAGTTAGACACCAGTCAGGCAATATAGTGAAACCTTCACTGTATAAAAAATTTAAAAATTAGCTGGGCATGGCTGGGCGCGGTGGCTCACCTGTAATCCCAGCACTTTGGGAGGCCGAGGCAGGTAGATCATGAGGTCAGGAGATCGAGACCATCCTGGCTAACACGGTGAAACCTCGTCTCTACCTAAAATACAAAAAAATTAGCCAGGCGTGGTGGCTAGCACCTGTAGTTCCTGCTACTCGGGAGGCTGAGGCAGGAGAATGGCGTGAACCTGAGAGGCAGAGCTTGCAGTGAGCCAAGATCGCGCCACTGCACTCCAGCCTGGGTGACAGAGCAAGACTCCGTCTCAAAAAAAAAAAAAAAAGGTCAGGTACGGTAGCTCACGCCTGTAATCCCAGCACTTTGGGAGGCCAAGGCAGGTGGATCACGAGGTCAGGAGATCGAAACCATCCTGGCTAACACGGTGAAACCCCATCTTTACTAAAAATACAAAAAATTAGCTGGCCGTGGTGGTGGGTGCCTGTAGTCCCAGCTAGTCGGGAGGCTGAGGCAGGAGAATGGTGTGAACCCAGGAGGTGGAGCTTGCAGTGAGCCGAGATTGCACCACTGCACTCCAACTTGGGCGACAAAGCAAGATTCTCTTTCAAAAAGAAAAAAAAATTAGCTGGGCATGATGGAGCACCTGTAGTTCCAGCTACTTCAGAGGCTGAGGTGGGAGGATCACTTGAGCCCAGGAGGTCAAGGCTGTAGTGAGCTGTAATCTTGCCACTGTACTCGAGCCTGGGCAACAGTGACACCCTGTCTCAAAAAAAAGAGAGGGTAGGCCCGGTGCAGTGGCTCACACCTGTAATCCCAACACTTTGGGAGGTGGGTGAATCACCTGGAGTCAGGAGTTTGAGACCAGCCTGGCCAACATGGTGAAACCCTATCTCTACTACTGAAGAAAAAAAAAAAAAAGAGGGTGGGTAGGAACTCTGTTATCTATTTACAAACAAGGAAATTGTTATGGGAATCACTGAGGAACTTAGCCAAAGTTAACCTAGCAGTAAGTGTTCAGTCTGGCTCCTGAATCTTTTTGAAACAGTCTCACTCTGTCACCCAGGCTGGAGTGCAGTGGTGCCATCTTGGTTCACTGCAACCTCCACCTCTCAGGTTCAAGCGATTCTCATGCCTCAGCCTCCCAAGTAGCTGGGCTTACAGGCGCATGCCACCATGCTCGGTTAACTGTATGTATGTATGTATGTATTTTGAGATGTAGTTTCATTCTTGTTGCCCAGGCTAGAGCATAATGGCATGATCTCAGCTCACTGCAACCTCCGCCTGCCAGGTTCAAGTGATTCTCCTGCGTCAGCCTCCCGAGTCGCTGGGATTACAGGCGTGTGCCACCACACCTGGCTAATTTATTTTTGTATTTTTAGTAGAGACAGGGTTTTGCCATGTTGGCCAGGCTGGTCTCGAACTCCTGACCTTAGGTGATCCACCTGCCTCGGCCTCCCAAAGTGCTGGGATTACAGGCGTGAGCCACCATGCCTGGCCCTAATTGAGATGGAGTCTCACTCTGTCGCGCAGGCTGGAGTGCAGTGGCGGGATCTTGACTCACTGCAAGCTCCACCTCCCGGGTTCACGCCATTCTCCTGCCTCAGCCTCCCGAGGAGCTGGGACTACAGGCGCCCGCCACCACGCCCGGCTGATTTTTGTATTTTTAGTAGAGACGGGGTTTCACCGTGTTAGACAGGATGGTCTTGATCTCCTGACCTCGTGATCTGCCCGCCTCGGCCTCCTAAAGTGCTGGGATTACAGGCGTGAGCCTGGCCCTTTTTTATATTTTTTTTAGTAGAGATGGGGTTTCACCATGTTGGCCAGGCTGGTCCCTAACCCCTGACCTCAGGTGATCTGTCCGCCTCAGCTGCGATTACGGGCATGAGCCACCATGCCAGGCCCTGAAGTTTTTTATGTCCACAAATGTGTATGGAAGGGTGGACTCCAAATGAACTACAGGAAAATACATGAACAACAACAAAAGTTGCAGGCCAGGTGTGGTGGCTCTGGCCTAGAATCACAGCACTTTCACTTTCAGAGGCTGAGGCTGGCGGATCACCTAAGTTCGGGAGACCAGCCCGACCAACATGGAGAAACCCCATCTCTAATAAAAATACAAAATTAGCCGGGCGTGGTGGCATATAATCCCAGCTACTTGGCAGGCTAAGGCAGGAGAATCGCTTGAACCCAGGAGGCAGAGGTTGTGGTGAGCCAAGATAGTGCCACTGCACTCCAGCCTGGGGAACAAGAGCAAAACTATGTCTCAAAAAACAAAAAAGGCTGGGCGCGATGGCTCACGCCTGTAATCCCTGCACTTTGGGAGGCCAAGGCGGGCGGATCACGAGGTCAGGAGATCCAAGACCATCCTGGCTAACACAATGAAACCCGTCTCTACTAAAAATACAAAAAAATTAGCCGGGCACCTGTAGTCCCAGCTACTCCGGAGGCTGAGGCAGGAGAATGGCTTGAACCTGGGAGGCAGAGCTTGCAGTGAGCCGAGATCGCGCCACTACATGCTGCCTGGGCGACAGAGCGAGACTCCATCTCAAAGATAAATGAAATAAGTAAATGTCAGGCGTGGTGGCTCACGCCTGTAATCCCAGCATTTCAGGAGGCCGAGGCGGGCGGACGGTGAGGCTAGGAGTTGGAGACCACCCTGGCCAATGTGGTGAAACCCCGTCTCTAGTAAAAATACAAAAATTAGCTGGGCATAGTGGTGCGCGCCTGTGGTCCCAGCTACTCGGGAGGCTGAGGGAGGAGAAATCGCTTGAACCTGGGAGGTGGAGGTTGCAGTGAGCTATCGCGCCACTGCACTCCAGCCTGGCGACAGAGCAAGACTCTGTCCCCCCCGCCCCCCAGAAAAGCAGAAAGTTGCAGTAGAACACATGAAGATTTATTCTTTTTGAAAAATGAAAAATGGGCCAGCATGGTGGCTGTTTGTAATGCCAGCACTTTGGGAGTCCAAGGTGGGCAAATCACAAGGTCGGGAGTTCGAGACCAGCCTGGCCAACATGGTGAAACCCCCATCTCTACTAGAAATACAAAAAATTAGCGGGGCATGGTGGCGGGCACCTGTAGTCCCAGTGATTTGGGAGGCCCAGGCAGAATAATGGGGTGAACCTGGGAGGCAGAGATTGCAGTATGAGTCGAGATCACGCCACTGCACTCTAGCCTGGGCGACAGTGCAAGACTCCATCCCCCCAAAAAAGAAAAATGTTGTCTCGTGTCTGGTGAATCATTCCATTTTTACAAAGTTCAAAAGATACGCAAAATTAAAATGATATTGTTTAGCAATGCACTCAGTAAAACTATTAAGAAAAGCCAGAGGATGATATACCCAGTTAATTCTCCAAGTAGGAAGAAGAAAAAGAGAAATTGAATCAGACAGGTTTGTTTCAAAGTTATTGGTAATGTTCTGGCCAGGCACATCATTTGAGGTCAGGAGTTCGAAACCACCCTGGCCAATATGGTGAAACCCCTATCTCTTCAAAAAATACAAAAATAAGGTGTGCAGCTGTAGCCCCAGCTACTGGGAACGCTGAGGCACGAAAATCACTTGAACCCGGGGAGAGGCTGCAGTGAACCCAAACTGCGCCACTATATTCCAGCCCAGGTGACAAGGTGCAACTGTCTCAAAAAAAAAAAGATGGCTAATTGGGTAGCCGTGGACACTTTACAATCATTAAAAAAAACTCAAATTCGGCCAGGCACAGTGGCTCACACCTGTAATCCCAACACTTTGGGAGGCTGAGGCAGGCGGATGGCTTGAGGTGGGTGGATCACCTGAGGTCAGGAGTTCGAGACCAGCCTGGCCAACATGGTGAAACCTTGTCTCTACTAAAAGTACAAAAAATAGCTAGGGGAGGTGCCAGGCGCCTGTAATCCCAGCTACTCAGGAGGCTGTGAGGCAGGAGAATCACTTGAACTCAAGATGCAGAGGTTGCAGTGAGGCGAGATTTTGCCATTGCACTCCAGCATGGGCAACAAGGGCGAAACTCCACCTCCTCCCCTGCCAGAAAAACCATCTCAAATGATTGTCAAAAGTCTAGTGTATTATACATAATACTATGTCACCCAACCAAGAATCTCTAATATTAGGCTTAAGAGTTAAGCCTAACTCAGCATTAACTAGCTCACGGGGCTTCATCTTTCTTTTTTTTTAAGACGGAGCCTGTCGCCAGGCTGGAAGTGCAGTGGCACGATCTCGGCTCACTGCAACCTTGGACTCCCTGGTTCAAAGCCATTCTCCTGCCTCAGCCTCCCGAGTAGTTGGGATTACAGGTATGTATCACCACACCCAGCTAATTTTTGTCCTTTTTTTGTTTTAGTAGAGACAGGGTTTCACCATGTTGGCCAGGATAATCTCAATCTCCTGACCTTGTGATCCACCCACCTCGGCCTCCCAAAGTGCTGGGATTATAGGCATGAGCAACTTGCGCCCAGCCCCCTTAATCTTTTTGTACCATTGTTCTGAGACCAAACCACGTCTTCTTTACTTTAAAATGCTTTATTGGAATTATTTTGATAAAAGCAAATACTTGTATATAAGACAAATATAGGAAATAGAAGCTATCTACTTGAAGTGCCCCCTAATTTTCAGGCATTTTTCCCCCAATAAGGTGACAGCTGCTCACACAGGATAATACAGGAAAGTTGTAAGTTCTTAGGATATGCCCAGCACCAGGCGGAAGATATTGTGTCAGCAAATTCCTGAAAAATAATAAAAAGAACATTAGAACCATATGAGATGCACCAATAAAAAAACGATTTCATATCCTTTGCAGCAACATGGATGCAACCACAGGCCATGATCCTCAGTGAATCAATACAGAACAGAAAACCAGATACCATATGTTCTTACTTGTAAGTGGGAGCTAAATGTTGAGTATACATGGACATAAAGATGGCAACAGACACTGGGGAGAGGAAATGGGGCAAAGGTTTAATAACTATTGGGTACTATGCCCACTACCTGGGTGATGGGGATAATCCTACCCCAAACCTCAGCATCATACAATGAACCCAAGTAACAAAACTGCACATATACCCCCTAAATCTACAATAAAAGCTGAGGCTGGGCATGGCAGCTCACGCCTGTCAATTCCAACACTTTGGGAGGCCAAGGCAGAAGTGTTCGGAGGCCAAGGCAAGACAATCACTTGAGCCCAGGAGTTTCAGACCAGCTTGAGCACCATAGTGGGACCCCATTATCTACAGCTTTTTTTTTTTTGAGATGGAGTCTTGCTCTGTTGCCCAGGGTGAAGTGCAATGGCGCAGTGCAATGGCGCCATATCAGCTCACTGCAACCTCCACCTCCCAGGTTCAAGCGATTCTTCTGCCTCAGCCTCCCAAGTAGCTGGAATTACAGGCGCCCGCCACCCATGCCCAGCTAATTTTTGTATTTTTAGTAGACAGGGTTTCACGGTGTTGGCCAGGCTGGTCTTCAACTCCTGACCTCAGGTGATCCACCCACCTTGGCCTCCCAAAGAGCTGAGATTACAGGCATGAGCCACCACACCCATCCTCAAATTTAAAAAAAAAAAAATTAGCCGGGGATAGTGGTGCATGCCTGTAAGTCATTAGCTACTCCAAGGGTGAGGTGAGAGGTGAGCTTCCACCCAGGAGGTTGAGGCTGCAGTGAGCTGTGACTGCACCACTGCACTCCAGCCTGGGTGACAGAGCAAGACTGTCTCAAAAAATAGAATAAAATTGTCAGATGCTATGGCTCACACCTGTAATCCCAGCACTTTGGGAGGCTAGGGCGGGCAAATCACCTGAGATCAGGAGTTCAAGACCAACATGGTGAAAACTCCCATCTCTACTAAAAATACAAAATTAGCTGGGCATGGTGGCGCATGCCTGTAATCCCAAGTACTCGGGAGGCTGAGGTTACAATGAGCTGAGAATGTGCCACTGCACTCCAGCCTGGGCGACAAAGTGAAACTCCATCTCAAACAAAAAATAAATAAAAATACATGTTGCGGGCTGGGCTCGGTGGCTAATACCTGTAATCTGAGCACTTTGGGAGGTCAAGGTGGGCAGATCTCTTGGTCAGGAGTTCAAGACCAGCCCGGCCAACATGGTGAAACCCTCTACTAAAAATACAAAAATTAGCCGGGACTGGTGGCGCATGCCTGTAATCCCAGCTACTTGGGAGGCTGAGGCAGAATTGCTTGAACCTGGGAGGCAGAGGCTGCAGTAAGCCAAGAGTGTACCACTGCACTCCAGCCTGGATGACAGAGCAAGACAGTCTCAAAAAACACACAAAACATGTTGGGGTGGGGCACAGTGGCTCACTGAGGCAGGAGTTGAAGACCAGCCTGTGCACAAAGTGAGACCCTGTAATACAGTTTAGATCTGTCTCCCCACCAAATCTCATATTGAATTGTAATGGATCACTGGGGTGGATTCCTCATGAATGGCTTAAGCACCATCCTCCTTGATGCTGTGCTCATGACAGTCAGTTCTCTAGAGATCAATTTATTAAAAATGTGTGGCACCTCCCTGCCTTTGCTGCTGCTCTGGCCATGCTACATCCCTGCTTCCCTCTGTACCTTATGCAATATAGTTTCCTGAGGCCCCCACCAGAGGCTGAGCAGATGCCAACACCATGCTTCCTGTACATCCTGCAGAACCATAGCCAATTAAACCTCATCATGTAAGTAACTGGCCATAAAAACATGAATTACAGGAGATTGCCGGCAGGATGAAGGTGGATCAGGTGGGTTCAAAGATCCTCAGAGAAAAGCTCAGAGACTCTTGTCCAACCAGATCATCATTACCACTCCCACTGAGAGCCAAAACAAAAGATACTCACCATAGCAAGGAAGGAGAACAGGCATGGCTCTCCACCTCTCCCAGCCTGAAGGTCAAGTTGCAGGAATCACTGTCTAAGCATGACAGCCATACAAAGCTTCTCTCCATGAGGGGGAGATTCCAAACCTTAGACCTTCACTCAGATTAGTGCAGAATCTCTGTGAAGGTGCATTGTCCCTGGCTGGGCTTCCAGAGTTCATTCTAACAAGGTGAAAACAAGACAATTTGAAAATAAACAGAATTATGGCCCTCCCATTGGCCCTTCTGGAGACCCAAGTATCCAGTTCCCTAAATGAGTCAGAACTTAGTTTTGACATCATGACCAGCATCGGAGACTCTAGTCTGTGAAATCATCATTCCCAATTAGGGAGATCTGGATCAAGGGAAGCTCTTCTGGAAAGAGATCTAGTACACTCAAAGAAAACACAACAGTCCCAGTATATATTGATCTAACAAATGAGTCCAGGAGTGGACGTTAGAAAGGGAGGAGTAGAAAGTAATTTAAAACAGCAGAGAACAGCTCCACTGGGAGGCCCCAGTGTACTCCTATTTTGCAGTAGAAATGAGGGGAGGAGTCAGGTTACCCAGCCTTTAACAAAAATACGGGGATTTATTAAAACGTAAAAATACAGGCCGGGCAAAGTGGCTCACGCCTGTAATCCCGGCACTTTGGGAGGCCGAAGGGCGTGGATCAACTGAGGTCAGGAGTTTGAGACCAGCCTGACCAACATGAGTGAGACTCATGTCCCCCCGCCCCCTAAAAAAGTAAAAATAGAATAGTCACAAGGAAAATGATGTAAACTAAAAAGAGTAAGACTGTCCCCCCGCCCCCCAAAAAAGTAAAAATAGTCACAAGGAAAATGATGTAAACCAAAAAGTAATCTCTAGAAAGTCACCAACACCAGACGCAGCAACTCACCCCTGTAATTCCAGCACTTTGGGAGACTGAGGCAGGAGGACTGCTTGAGCCCAGGAGTAGAGACCAGCCTGGACAACATGGCAAAAGCCCGCTTCTGTAAAAAAACTAAAAATTAGCCAGGCGTGGTGGTAGCACGTGCCTGCAGTCCCAGGAAGCTGAGGTGGAAAGACCACTTGAGCCCTGACGGTGGATGTTGCAGGGAGATCCTGGCATTGCGCCCTGTCTCAAAAACAAAATAGCAAAAACAAACAAATGGAAGTCACCACCTGTGGTACATGGATTATAGCTCAAAAAAGAAAAAGTGGCCGGGCACAGCGGCTCACGAGGTCAGGAGATGGAGACCATCCTGGCCAACATGGTGAAACCCCTTCTACTAAAAACAGAAAAATTAGCCGAGTGTGGTGGCGCGGGCCTGTAGTCCCAGCTAATCGGCAGGCTGAGGCAGGACAATCGATTGAACCCGGGAGGCAGAGGTTGCAGGGAGATCGTACCATTGCCAGCCCGGGCAACAAGATCAAGACTCCATCTCAAAAAAAAAAAAAAAAAAGGAAAAAATTGGCTAAGGTGGGAGAATCGGTTAAACCCGGGAGTTGAAGGCCGCACTGAATTGTGTTCTTGCCACTGCATTCCAGCCAGGGTGACAGGGAGGCTGTCTTAAAAAAAAAAAAAAAAAAAAGGCCGGGCGCGGTGGCTCACGCCTGTAATCCCAGCACTTTGGGAGGCCGAGAGGGGCGGATCACGAGGTCAGCAGATCGAGACCATCCTGGCTAACACAGTGAAACCCCTTATCTATTAAAAAATACAAAAAATTAGCCAGGCTTGGTGGCATGCGCCTGTAATCCCAGCTAATCGGGAGGCTGAGGCAGGAGAATCGCTTGATCCCAGAAGGCGCAGGTTGCAGTGAGATCGTGCCACCGCACTTCAGCCTGGGTGACAAGGCGAGACTGTCTCAAAAAAAAAAAAAAAAAAAAGGGCAGGGAGGCGCATAATGCCCATGAACGAAAGCTTGCTTGGGAACAAAGCTTTCCGAAGAGGCATTCAAAAGGCTCTCGCACCTAATACTCACCTTTACTCAAGGATAACACGGCGATGAACGTCTTACAACTCCTAACGGGGAAATGAAACAGAACAAAAGATTAGGAATCTTGGCCATGAACTCGTTGAGCCTGAGAAATGCTGGACCGAGGGGGCGGTCAGAGCGCTGCGGTGATGGCATCAGCGACACACTCAGAGTTACCTGGGGTCATCATCACTCCCTTCCTATCCCCGGGCGACCGCCACCCCCATTTTGCAATCACTCGCCCAACCCCACTCACAGTTGTTTTGAGTCAGCAGGGGCTGTGGGGCCGCTAGCCGAGTTCCCCCTGCCACGAGCTAGGTCAGTTCCAAGCAAAGACACCAGAAACTCCAGTGTGCAACGGTAGTTCACCCAACTGCACTGGGGACCGCCCTCTCCTACCCCAGCCAGGCCGCGACGTGGCCGCCCGCCGGCTGCTGCGCAAAGGCAGCGCAAGCCGTTGGGATCCCCTGCTCCCCCTCACTCAACAGTCGGGCCATTACAACTCTCATACTGCCAACCCACGAGCCCACTTCGCAAAAAGAACTAAAATGGCGAGGCCGGGGCCATTTATGGCGGCGCCGGGTTGGGGGCCTGACGGGTATAGTTGTTTTCTTATCTGCCTGGCTAGACGCGCGGCATTTTCCCCATTGTTTGTCCACACAGAAATAAAACAAAGTGAAAGAAAGACCAGGGAAGTATGTTTCACACTCCTCTGGGCAAATATTCGGAGATGCTTTCTGAATTTTGAAAAACAAAAAACAGGGATCTGTCTGGCCAGGCGGAAGAAAGTCCCCGGCGCCGGCCGGCCAGCGCCAGCCGGGTGCTGCTCCTAAGCCGTTTCCCAGCAGCCCATGGTCCGTTAATGACCCTGGGACTCTTCCCGCGCGCGCGCGGGCGCGCGCAGCTGCGCCAGTTTAGCGTCCAGCTACCCTGACACTTCGCACTCCGTTCCCCCAGCGAAATCTGAATTTGCCTCCCAGTTCGATCCCGCAGACTGTCAGGCACCCTAACCTTCAATTAAACAAAACAAAACAAAAACCAAAAACCCAAAAGGCAGGTCGGACGTAATAGGTCACGCCTGTAATCTCAACACTTTGGACAGGCCCAGGCAGAGGATCATTTGAGGCCCGGAGTTCGGGACCAGCCTGGGCAAATAGTGACACCCAACCCCCGTCTCTATTTATTTAAAAATTAGGCCGGGCGCGGTGGCTCACGCCTGTAATCCCAGCACTTTGAGAGGCCGAGGCAGGTGGATCACGAGGTCAGGAGATCGAGACCATCCTGGCTAACACGGTGAAACCCCGTCTCTACTAAAAAAAAATTAGCAGAGTGTGGTGGCGGCGCCTGTAGTCCCAGCTACTCGGGAGGCTGAGGCAGGAAAATGGCGTGAACCCAGGACGCCGAGCTTGCAGTGAGCCGAGATTGCGCCACTGCACTCCAGCCTGGGCGACAGGGCGAGACTCTGTCTCAAAAAAAAAAAAATTATTGAAACTCATAAGTCATTTCAAATCCTTTCTGGACCCTTTCCTATCGCCCCCATTTATAAACGCGTATGATGTTTGGTGATGTGTGTTGTGTGTGTTGGTATCTTTTTCTTTTTTGAGACGGAGTCTGACTCTGTTGCCCAGGCTGGAGAGCAGTGGCGGGATCTCGGCTCACTGCAACCTCCGCTTCCTCGGTTCAAGCGATTTTCCTGCCTCAGCCTCCGAAGTAGCAAGGATTACAGGTGCACACAACCATGCCTGGCTAATTTTTATATTTTTAGTAGAGTCAGGGTTTCACCATGTAAGCCAGGCTGGTCTCGAACTCCTGACTTCAGGTGATTTGCCTGCCTAGGCCTCCACAAAGTGCCAGGATTATAGGTGTGAGCCACCGAGCCTGGCCTCTTCCTTTTTTTTTTTTTCTTTTTCTTTTTTTTTTTTTTTGAGATAGGGTCTTGCTCTGTTACCCAGATTGGAGTGCAGTGGCATGATCTCGGCTTACTACAACCTCTGCCTCCCGGGTTCAAGTGATTCTCTTGCCTCAGCCTCCTGAGTAGCTGAGATTACAGGCATCTGCCACCACACCCAGTTAATTTTATATATTTTTAGTAGAGACAGGGGTTTTCACCATGTTGGCCCAGGCTGGTTTTGAACTGGTGAACCTCAGTGATCCTCCCACCTCGGCCTCCCAAAGTGCTGGGATTACAGGCGTGAGCCACCGTGGCCAGCCCAGTTCAGTGGTTTTCTCCACATTGGCTGCAAATTACAAACACCTGGGCAGCTTTAAATGTCTACACTGCCCTCTTTGAGATTCTGAATTGGCCTGAGAGAGGCCTGGCATCTGTATTTTTTTAGCATCCCTTAATCGTTTTATTGTTCCATTACGGTGGAGAGCCATGGCTCAAAGCTAAAGTATTTGTTCCCTCTACTGCCTGGCAAGTATATAAAAAAAAGATTAGCTATGGGTGGTGGCATACACGTGTAGTCCCAGCTAATCAGGAGGCTAAGGATCAATTGAGCCCAGGAGGTCGAGGCTGCCATGAACCGTGATCATACCACTGCACTCTAGCCTGGGCAACAGAGTGAGACCCTGCCTTAAAAAAAATATATATATATACAGAAAGCCCTAATTCCTGCTGTTTTGGCAGTTAAGCTGCCTTTACTAAGTGCTATGGTCAGAGGCTTTAGTTCCTCTTTTTTTTTTTTTTTTTTTTTTTGAGACAGAGTTTCGCTCTTGTTGCCCAGGCTGGAGTGCAATGGCGCGATCTCGGCTCACAGCAACCTCCGCCTCCCAGGTTCAAGCCATTCTCCTGCCTCAGCCTCCAGGGTAGCTGGGATTACAGGCATGCGCCACCACACCCGGCTAATTTTGTATTTTTAGTAGAGATGGGGTTTCTCCATGTTGGTCAGGCTGGTCTCGAACTCCAGACCTCAGGTGATCCGCCCGCCTCGGCCTCCCAAAGTGCTGGGATTATAGGTGTGAGCCACCGCGCCTGGCCTAGTTCATCTCTTTCATTAATAAAACAGGCCTTTAAGAATTGGCCCAAGGGCCGGGCATAGTGGCTCACGCCTATAATCCCAGCACTTTGGGAGGCCAAGGCAGGCAGATCACCTGAGGTCAGGAGTTCGAGACCAGCCTGCCCAACATGGCGGAAACCTCGTCTGTACTAAAAATACAAAAAATTAGCTGAGCATAGTGGCCGGTGCCTGTAATCCCAGCTACTTGGGAGGCTGAGGCAGGAGAATCGTTTGAACCTGGGAGGTAGAGGTTGCAGTGAGCCGAGATTGCTCCACTGTACTCCAGCCTGGGCAACAAAAGTGAAACTCTGTCTCAAAAAAAAAAAAAAAAAAAAAAAACTTGGCCCCAAAACCAAAGAAACTTACTATATTCCTTTTCTTTTATACACTTTCAAGGAGGATTTCCAGTATTATGTAATCCTTAAAACGTTTTAAGGATTTAAAACATTTTAAAACCCTAGAGGGTAAGGATTTACACAAAGGTGCAACACAGGACTTTAACCGTTTTATTTATGTTTTTTTGAGATGAAGTATTGCTCTGTCACCCAGGGTGGAGTACAGTGGCGCAATCTCAACTCACTACAACCTCCGCCTCCAGGGTTCAAGTGATTCTCCTTCCTCAGCCTTCCATGTAGCTGGGATTATAGACATGCCCCACCGTGCCCACCTAGTAGAGACAGGGTTTCACCATGTTGACCAGGCTGGTCTGGAACTCCTGACCTTAGGTGATCCAACCGTCCCACCTCGGTCTCCCAAAGTGCTGGGATTACAGGCGTGAGCCCCCACGCCCGGCCAGCTAATTCTATTGTTTTTTGTAGAGATGGGTTTTCGCTATGTTGGCCAGGCTGGTTTTGAACTCCGGACCTCAAGTGATCCGCCCACCTCACCCTCCCTAAATTCTGGGATTATAGGCATGAGCCATCGCACCTGGCCCATTTTATTTGATTTTTAAATTCTTTTTGTAAATTGACAAACTTTAGTTGCATATATTGGTACAAAGTAGTTATTAACACAATATGGAGTAATTAAATCAAGCTAATTAACATATCACCTCAAATATTTTTGTGACAAGAACATTTGAAATTTTGAAATATACAATACACTATTAACTATTTTCACCATGCCATGCAATATATACCCTCCACCCACCACCCCCCCAAAAAAAAACACAAAAACTGGCAGGGCACAGTGGCTCACGCCTATAATCCCAGCACTTTGGGAGGACTAGACAAGGGGATCGCTTGAGCTGAAGAGTTCGAGACCAACCTGGGCAACACAGCAAGACTTCGTCTCTACAAAATACAAAAAATTAGCTGAGCATGATGGCACATACCTGTAGACCCAGTACTCAGGAGGCTAAGGTGGGAGGATTGCTTGAACCCAGGAGTTTGAGACTACAGTGAGCTCTACTGTGCTCCAGCCTGGGTGACAGAGCAATATCCCGTTTCAAAAAAAAAAAAATACAATTTATTTCTCCTGACTAAGGCTTTGTTTCCCTTGCACGTCTCCCCATTCCCCCATCCCACAGCCCTTGGTGACCACCACTTCTCTGCTTCTGAGTTCTACTGTTTAGATTCCACATATAAATGAATATGAGCCGAGGTCAGGAGATTGAGACCATCCTGGCTAACACGGTAAAACCCTGTCTCTACCAAAAATACAAAAAATTAGCCAGGCGTGGTGGCAGGCGCCTGTAGTCCCAGTTACTCAGGAGGCTGAGGCAGGAGAATCGCTTGAACCCGGGAGGCGGAAGTTACCGTGAGCTGAGATTGCGCCACTGCACTCCAGCCTGGGCGACAAGAGTGAGAGTGAGACTCCGTCTCAAAAAAAAAAAAAAAAAAAGTCAGCATTTTTTTGTGGACTCCGCTCACTAAGTAGAAGAGGGAGAGAAAACCACCATAATCCCATCTCAGCACCACCCCTCCCCTCCCCGCCCCAGTGAACCCACCTCAACCACCCCTCCAATACCGTTTTGCAGCTGCCATCCGACTTTTCCCTGAAACAAGCCCCACTCTAATCAAGACGGGCACCTGCAATTTCTCTTAAGGCCCACAATTAAGCCCAAACAAAAATATGTGTAGCTCTAACTCCTACACGTATAACTCTTCAGCAGTACTGTTCTTTTCAGACTATAAAGATAGATGGTATTCAGACACTATCCCTCCGCAAATATCCATTATCTTCACATATTAACAGACAAGAAAAAGTTTAACATTTTATTTTTCATATTTAAATAAACAAATTATAAAAACATACATTCCCAGCCTTTGTAGTGTTTTCGCCAAGCAAAAAAAAAAAAAAAAAAAAAAAACAAACAAACTCGTACAGAAGGTGGCAGTGTTGATTCATTTAAAGGGAACGAAACACCCTTACAGTATCAACATTAAATGCAAAGAATTCTAATGAACATATCGGTTGTACTACAAAAATAATGAAGCCAGCTAATTACCATCAGGTTACAACTTTACAAAGAAGTGAAGCAGCAAAGAGCTGAAGCAGAAATGACATAGGAAAACAGCAGCAAAGTCCTTGAGTCCCAACAGTCCACCTCAAAGACAAACATACTAAAGAACAAAGGCCCCTAATCCACCTCCTCAATGGTAGGGCCTGACCCAGACCCTCCCTTGGGACCCTGAGCCCCGAAGCCGCCAGGCCCGGGACCACCGGCACCCTGGTACAGTCCGCTGATGATGGGGTTACACACCTGCTCCAGCTCCTTCCTCTTGTGCTCAAACTCGTCCTTCTCGGCCAAGGTGTTGGCGTCCAGCCACGAGATGACCTCTTGACACTTGTCCAGAACCTTCTTCTTGTCCGCCTCGCTGATCTTGCCCTTGAGCCCCTCATCCTCCACGGCGCTCTTCATGTTGAAGGCGTAGGACTCCAGGGCGTTCTTGGCTGACACCCTCTCGCGCTGCACCTCGTCCTCCGCTTTGTACTTCTCCGCCTCCTGCACCATGCGCTCGATCTCCTCCTTGCTCAGGCGGCCCTTGTCGTTGGTGATGGTGATCTTGTTGGCCTTGCCGGTGCTCTTGTCCGTGGCCGTGACGTTCAGGATGCCGTTGGCATCGATGTCGAAGGTCACCTCGATCTGGGGCACGCCCCTGGGGGCCGGAGGGATGCCGCTCAGCTCGAAGCGCCCCAACAGATTGTTGTCTTTCGTCATGGCCCTCTCGCCCTCGTACACCTGGATCAGCACCCCGGGTTGGTTGTCGGAGTAGGTGGTGAAGATCTGCGTCTGCTTGGTGGGGATGGTGGAGTTGCGCTTGATCAGGGCAGTCATCACGCCTCCGGCCGTCTCCAGCCCCAGCGACAGGGGAGCCACGTCCAGCAGCAGCAGGTCCTGCACGTTCTCGGACTTGTCCCCCATCAGGATGGCCGCCTGCACCGCCGCCCCGTAGGCCACAGCCTCGTCGGGGTTGATGCTCTTGTTCAGGTCGCGCCCGTTGAAGAAGTCTTGCAGCAGCTTCTGCACCTTGGGGATGCGGGTGGAGCCCCCGACCAGGACCAGGTCGTGAATCTGGGCCTTGTCCAGCTTGGCGTCGCGCAGAGCCTTCTCCACGGGCTCCAGGGTGCTTCGGAACAGGTCGGAGCACAGCTCCTCGAACCTCGCCCTGGTGATGGACGTGTAGAAGTCGATGCCCTCAAACAGGGAGTCGATCTCCAGGCTGGCCTGGGTGCTGGACGACAGGGTCCTCTTGGCCCTCTCGCAGGCGGTGCGCAGCCGCCTCACGGCTCGCTTGTTCTGGCTGATGTCCTTCTTGTGTTTTCTCTTGAACTCCTCCACGAAGTGGTTCACCAGCCTGTTGTCAAAGTCCTCCCCACCCAGGTGGGTGTCCCCGGCCGTGGCCTTCACCTCGAAGATGCCGTCGTCGATCGTCAGGATGGACACGTCGAAGGTGCCCCCGCCCAGGTCAAAGATGAGCACGTTGCGCTCCCCCTTGCCCGTTCTGTCCAGGCCGTAGGCGATGGCGGCGGCCGTGGGCTCGTTGATGATCCGCAGCACGTTGAGCCCCGCGATCACACCCGCATCCTTGGTGGCCTGGCGCTGCGAGTCGTTGAAGTAGGCCGGCACGGTGATCACCGCGTTGGTCACCGGGTAGCCCAGGTACGCCTCGGCGATCTCCTTCATCTTGGTCAGCACCATGGACGAGATCTCCTCGGGGTAGAATGCCTTGGTCTCCCCCTTGTAGCTCACCTGCACCTTGGGCTTGTCTCCGTCGTTGATCACCTGGAAAGGCCAGTGCTTCATGTCCGACTGCACCACCGGGTCGCCGAACTTGCGGCCGATCAGCCGCTTCGCGTCAAACACGGTGTTCTGCGGGTTCAGCGCCACCTGGTTCTTGGCCGCATCCCCGATGAGCCGCTCGGTGTCCGTGAAGGCCACGTAGCTGGGGGTGGTGCGGTTGCCCTGGTCGTTGGCGATGATCTCCACCTTGCCGTGTTGGAACACCCCCACGCAGGAGTAGGTGGTGCCCAGGTCGATGCCGATCGCCGCGGCTTTGGCCATGCCGGTGCCCTGCTCTGTGGGCTCCGCTCTGAGACTGGGGGCTGGAAACGGCGGACGGGATCCGCGACAAGAGCTCAGTCCTTCGGAACGCCGGAAACTCAACACGCCGGTGCCTGCAGCCGCACAGGTTCGCTCTGGAAAGCCTTGGGACCGCGGGAGTCACTCTCGAAAGACGAAGCGGACCCTCGCAGCAGCTCCTCAGGCTGGCCGTTTTCCGGACCGCGCGCCCCTCGGCTTTTATAAGTCGTCGTGGAGACCCGCCTTTCCCCTTCTGAGCCAATCACCAAGCTCGATGAGGCTGCCAGGTCGGGAATATTCCAGGGGTTTCGCCTCCCGTCCTGCCCCCCAGCCTTCCTTGGACCAATCAGAGGGCAGGGTGCCGCCCTCTGCTCAGAACTCTCCAGAGTCTTCTGGGATTCACTGGAGGGGACAGGGGCCCTGAGAGAAAGGGGGAGTGGTGGTGGGAAGGGTGTTGGTCTCCATGGCGATGCTGGCCGCCTGCCCTTCAGTAGGTAATTGACAGGAAGGGCCCGCTCTGGGCGGTGCGAGATTGGTCGGATGACTTTGGAGACAACCAGAACCCGAAAGTTACCTTGTTTCTCGAAGGAGGCGGTGCATCGATGTGCCTGGGAAACTCTGATTGGACTGTGTCTGTGAAGGACGGAGCAGCCTTGGGTCCTTTCTCCGAGGCACCTAATGGCCTAGTCTGCCTGAGAAACGGACCGGCTCTCCCGGATGTTTTTTCCGTCTTAATGGGAAGGAGAAGGAAAGAGATAATGCAATATAGTTTTTGACATAATCTTTAACCTACAAGGATAGAACAACTGGGAATAGGAGCCTTTAAATTTTCACAAGGAAAGCAGTTGTGTAAACAGGCAGTTCTTAGCAAGACAGGGGCACCCATCCAAGGAGGAAGGGAGGCGCTGGTCGGGTAATGGGAGCAGTGGGTCCGCCGCACCCCTGTCCCCGCCCTCAGCCGCTCCCCTCAGCTGCAACCAGGAGTTAGAAAAAAATTTTCCTTAGTATGTAGGCCGTCCTTAAGGCATTTGGGATTCCTCCATTTCCCTCCCCATTCCTAGCTTGGGGTCTGGGACACCTCCTTCCTACTTTCTCAATTCCTGGTTCACTCCTGGACGGTGTGTAGAAGTAGGACCTCACAGTCCCGAGTAAGATTTTCTGTCTGTCCCTGAAACCCCTAGGCTGTTACCGTTTTTAGGTCAAATTTAACAAGATGGTGACCCTGGGAGGGAGGTGCGGGGGGTGTTTAGCTCTCTTTAACATCACATACTACAGCTGTTTGGCAGGTGGCCCTCTTTAAGCAAACTGTGTGGAGTGATGCTGGAAAGCAGGAGGGGTTGGGACCCAGGTTCTAGTTACTAGCTCCTCTTAACACCTCAGGTTATGTGTCTTAAGTTTGTTGTTTTCGTTTTGAGACAGTCTCGCTCTGTCGCCCAAGCTGGAGTGCAGTGGCGTGATCTCGGCTCACTGCAACCTCCGCCTCCCGGGTTTAAGCAATTCTCCTACCTCAGCCTCCTGAGTAGCTAGGATTACAGGCGTGCGCCACCACGCCTGGCTAATTTTTGTATTTTTAGTAGAGACAGGGTTTCCCCATGTTGGTCAGGCTGGTCTCGAACTCCTGACCTCGTGATCCGCCCATGTTGGTCAGGCTGGTCTCGAACTCCTGACCTCGTGATCCGCCCACCTCGGGCTCCCAAAGTGCTGGGATTACAGGCGTGAGCCACCATTCCCGGCCTGTTGTTTTTGTTTGTTTGTTTTGAGACTGAGTCTCACTCTGTCGCCCAGGCTGGAGTGCAGTGGTGAGATCTCTGCTCATTGCAACCTCTGCCCCTGGGGTTCAAACAATTCTGCTGCCTCAGCCTCCCCAATAGCTGGAATTACAGGATGTGCCACCACGCCGGGCTAATTTTTGTATTTTTAATAGAGACAGGGTTTCGCCATGTTGGCCAGGCTGAATGTGTCTAAGTTTTTATCCTAGATTCCAACTTCCTGCGGATTCTCCTTCCTCCTGTTTTAAATACGGTTGCATTTAGTAATTTACTTTCCCTTTGTTTTTTTCCTTCATTCTTAGTGTGAATGCAAGACCCTTTGTTAGGCGTCTGAAAGGAAAATGTGAGGGGGTTGAAGCAATAGTACTGTGTTTACAACCTACCACAAAAAAAAAAAAGAAAAGAAAAAAAAAATAGCCTCATTGCCATGGCGATATTCCTTGAGCACAAATGAAAGGAAGAAGTTACTGATGAAGGAATAATCCTGTTTTTAAACACTTTGCTCAATTGGCACTTTTCATATGCACACCTGCACACACACACCTGTCCACTATCAAAACACCTCTTCCTGGAATTTAAGGGTATTCATTTGTTTATAATTCACTGATCTAAACTCATGTTGCAAATAAATTGCTTTAACAATATGTGTGTGTCTGTATGTGCAGGTAGGTGATAACTTTCACATTCAGCTTTAGCTCCCTAATGAATCACCTCTCTAAACTAGTCAAACCGGTCAAACTTCAGGAATTTTCCCAAACATTTCTCTATGAAATGTCTGGCTGGAGATTCTCCCAAACTATGTTCATCTTAGCTGCACAGTGTATCAACACTTCCAGAGACCCTTAACCTCACCCCTCCCTCTGGAAACTTCCTCACCATCAACTGCTACTACTGGCAGGTCTGGATTCATTCCTTCCCTCCTTCCAAATCCACAATTTAAAAGGCCAGCACAGTGGCTCACACCTGTAATCCCAGCACTTTGGGAGGCCGAAGCAGCAGATCACCTGAGGTCAGAAATTCGAGACCAGCCTGACCAACATGGAGAAAGCCGGTCTCTACTAAAAATACCAAAAAAAAAAAAAAAAAAAATTACCTGGGCATGGTGGCGCATGCCTGTAATCCCAGCTACTTGGGAGTCTGAGGCAGGAGAATCATTTGAACCCAGGAGGCGGAGGTTGCGGTGAGCCGAGATCGCGCCACTGCACTCCAGCCTGGGCAACAAGAGCGAAACTCCTTCTCAAAAATAAAATACTTCTCTGATTCTGCTGAGAAACATAAAAAGTGGGGAGTGGGGGGTGGGAGAGGGGGAGAAAAAACCTCTCTATTGGCATGAAGCAAAGGGCATCACTGTCTCAACTGCCTAGCAAGTAGATGTGGTGTTGGGACCCCAAATCTTGGGTGCTCTCTGGATAGCAGAAAAATCCAATATAAATGCTGTTTTTCTTCAATCAGTCACACTAGTCAGAGTCTACAGTGCTATAGTTGACCTAGCTTTTAAGTGAAGCCTCTGTGGACTAGACTGGAAACCCACACATACATATTCCTTGTCCATTTCCTGACAAGGAGAGGGTCACCTGAATTTTCTTTTTTTTTTCTTTTTTTTTTTTTTGAGACAGAGTCTTGCTCTGTCGCCCAGGCTGGAGTGCAATGGCACAGTCTTGGCTCACTGCAACCTCCACCTCCCAGGTTCAAGCGATTCTCCTGCCTCAGCCTCCTGAGTGGCTGGGATTACAGGTGCACACCACCACGCCTGGCTAATTTTTGTATTTTTAGTAGAGAGGGGGTTTCGTCATGTTGGCCAGTCTGGTCTCGAACTCCTGACCTCAAGTGATCCGCCCGTCTGGGCCGCCCAAAGTGCTGGAATTACAGGCATGAAGCACCACGCCGGCCTTTTCTTTCCTTTCAGACTGGATGCTTCCCAAGGCAGAAATCCAGTCACAAGTTTAATTGCTGTCTAAGGTGAATATATAAGAACCCCAGGAGATTTTTCAGAACTTTAATGTGATTAATTTCAGAATTAGGTTTTTATTGGATTCTGTGTTTGGAAGGATCAGAGCTCAGAGTCCCCAAAGTGAAAGCCAGGTTAGATGCTTTCAAAGGGACAAGAGAACTGAAGAGGGAGTGCCAAGAACATAATTGCTACAGCAGTGTGGGGTAAGACAGCCTTCTTCAGGCTGACGCTGCAGGGTCTTTTCCTTCCTTCTCCCTCTCCTTTTTATAGTTCCTCAAACAGTAGTTTTCTTAATTTTGTTCATTTTAAAAGATGGTATAGGCCGGGCGCGATGGCTCATGCATGTAATCCCAGCACTTTGGGAGGCCGAGATGGGTGGATCACCTGAGATCAGGAGTTCAAGACCAGCCCGGCAAACATGGCAAAACCCCTTCTCTCCTAAAAACACAAAAATTAGCCGGACGTGGTGGTGCACATCTGTAATCCCAGCTACTCAGGAGCTGAGGCAGGAGAATCACTTGAACCTGGGAGGTGGAGGTTGCAGTGAGCTGAGATCGCACCACTACACTCCAGTCTGGGTGACAGAGCAAGACTCTGTCTCAAAAAAATAATAAATTAAAAAAAAAAGCTGTTATAATTTTAAGTTTATCCAAATGAACTTAAATGAAAGCAAAAGAGTTAATTGATATGAAATCTAGAGGCAGGCATTCTTAACTGAATGAATGACAAATGCTTCAATGACAAAGAGAACCCTGGCCATTTCTAGCAGCATGGAAAGAAAAAATCTGGGAAGGGAAAATCCTGGATTTGCATCTGCGCTCTACTTCTTTGGTGAGGCTGTTTTTCTTTTCAACAAGGAAGTACTTGTACATTGACTAAATAACACAAGTTTCGACGTGTTCATCTCTAAAACATAATTAACAATAACTGAACTGCGTGTGGTGACTCAGGTCGGTAATCCCAGTGCTTTAGGAAGCCAAGGCAGGCACTTGAACTCAGAAGTCCAAGATCAGCCTGGGCAACATAGTGGGACACCATCTCTACTAAAAACTTTACAAGTTAGCTGGGCGTGGTGGCAGGTGCCTGTAGTCCCAGCTACTTGGGAGGCTGAGGCAGGAGGATCGCTTGAGCACAAGAGGTCAAGGCTGCAGTGAGCTATGATCACGCCACTGCATTCCAGCCTGGGAGACAGAGATCCTGTCTCGAATAAAAAAATTTTTTTTCCCTACATGATCAAAGAGAATATGATCTTCTCCCTCCTTTTATTGGGGATCCCATACTCTCGGATATGACTCGTAGTCATTCTTATTTAGGTGTTTAAAAGTTGGGGACCATTATTAGGACTACAGCTGCTTTCAGCTTAATGTAAAAACTGTCCTAAGATCTGCGGGCACAGGCCATTCAGTCAAACCTTTTCATTTTCAAAGACAGCACCAAGGATCAAAGAAGTTCAGTGGCTTGATCTGGTTACCCAGATGACAGGTTACAGAACCGGTGATTGGACCCACGGGTTCTGACACTCATTTTGTACTCCTTCCCACATTGGCTCATCAACCTAACTGGGTTTTGTTTGCTTTTAATTTTGTGGTTAGACCTAATTGTTTTATTCTCTAAAGAGGAAAACAAATGAATACAGTGTTGGCCTCTGCGAGCATTAAGGGCACCACGGGTATGTGATCAGCCAGGGACTCCCGTCCTGGCTGCTGCTCTGCTCTTCGGACTCAAGACCATGGCCCCTACAAGCTCTTGCCTTCCCCACCTTCCAGCTCTCCCAGCCCTGCCTCTCCTTTCCGATAGAACAGATTGCTCAAGCAGAAAGAGGGGAAAGGAGGGGGGAGCCCCGTTACTAGGGCAAGGTTGGCATATAGTTCACAGAATCTTCCGGACGTTAAATATAGAGTCCTGACTAACCTTGATGTTTTAGGGCCGGCTGGCGAGAGGAGGGAGAGACTCGGGTGGCGCAGTTTGTTGGGGAGTGTCCCTAAGAATGACACAGCAGTTCTCGCCTTGAAGGTCAGAAAACTCTAGAAACTTCGGGCAGAGCCAGCGACGGGGGAAAAAGCCTCAGCCAAAGGGGAGGAAAGGTGGGGAGTGCGGGGGGGGGGCGGGGGGAGAAAAGGCGGGGCCGCTGGGGCCTGAGGGCGGGGCTGGCTTCGGGGCTGCCTATCCGACTCCTGCGTTTTCTGATGTTTTTTTTTTTCCAAAAAGGGATTAAAGGAGGAAAGAAAGGACCTTTCGAGTTTCTCTCATACTAGGTGATTTACAAGACGAAAATATTGGAGAATTTTGTAACTTTCATACAACTAAATCAGATGCATTGGGTGGCCAGAGGCGAGAAGAGAAGGTCCCCACCGCCCACGGCCAGCGCGCACCCGTCTGCGCGGGGACGCGCGACTGATGGGAGAGTAGGGGATGGAGTCGGTTGGCTTTTGCCTACAGCCAGCTCAGCGCCCCGTTCTAGTCCCTCGCCCCGTGAGGCATCAGGAGAGTAAGAAAATTAGACCCTCAGGAGTGATTCTCGGTTGCTGGGCTCCTCCGTAGTCCCAGCCTGTGAACCTGCTCCAGCCCTCCTCTGGTGCCCTCCCTTCTAATTTTTTTTTTTTTCACTTTTTTTTGAGGCAGGGTCTCGCTTTGTCGCCCAGACTGGAGTGCAGTGGCGCAATCACGGCTCACTGCAGCCTCAAGCGATCCTCCCGCCCCAGCCTCCCGGGTAGCTGGGACTCCAGGCCCGCGCCACCACGCCCTGCTCCTCTCTCCTCCAATTCTTGATCGGGCTGGACGTGGGCCAGCGGGGTGGGGCGGGTTTAACTCCGTGTCTGGAATGCTCCGCTGCCCTACCCCTCAAACATCCCTTTAAATGGTGGTGCTAGGAAAGGACGAGGGCCCGGTGGGTTTACTCCCTCTGGCTGAACTACACCTGATAGATACCTCAGGGGCGTTTCCCAAGGGGATGGATTTAGATCAGTTAGCAGGAGGAATGGTGGCTGTCACAATTTTTTATATTCACGTAAGGATCGCTCCCTCAGAAATCGCCAATATTGGCTCCCCCAAGAAATAACCTCATTTCCTTTTTTAGCCTAAAGCCGTATTATTTCTGCCCACTTCTCTCACATCTATAAAATACTGTAGTTAATTTTTTGTTTTGGTACCTTTTTTGTCTTTTTGAGGATGACAAGAACTCTTGAAGACCAGGAATAACAGTAAGTGTATATGTTATAAAATAAAATCCTGGGTTCAAAGCCATATAAAATCAAATTTATTATCATAGCCTGCTGCCTTCTGAGGCCTGGTATAGGAAGGTAGGAGGTGATTGGAATTGAGAAGATATTTATATTTGTTTTTCCACACCTGCAGTTATTTTTCCTGTTGCACTTTCCTCCCTCAAAGTTCCTCTGCTCCTCAAAACATCACTCCGTTTATGGGTGGCACTGCATTCTCTTTGCTAATTCCACAGCTCCCTCAACGTCTTTTCTTGAGGTTACAAAGTGAATATTTCAAGGTACAGTACTCTGTGCTAGGGTATGCAGGCAAACAATTTTTTTTTTTTTTTTTTTTTTGGAGACGGAGTCTTGCTCTGTCGCCCAGGCTGCAGTGCAGTGGCACGATCTCGGCTCACTGCAACCTCCACCTCCCGGGTTCAAGTGAGTCTCCTGCCTCAGCCTCCTGAGTAGCTGGGATTACAGGCGCCCACCACCACGCCTAGCTAATTTTTGTATTTTTAGTAGAGGTGGGGTTTCACCATCTTGGCCAGGCTTGTCTTGAACTCCTGACCTAGTGAGCCACCCGCCTCGGCCTCCCAGAGTGCTGGGATTACAGGCATGAGCCACCACGCCCGGCCGACAAGTAATAATTTTTACATATTTCTTGTTAAAACACCTACTAATAAGCTTGATAGGGCCATAGGAACTCTCTTATTGCCTCCATTCAATGTTATGTCTGATGACTTCTCTACTGTGTCAACAAAGGCATTTGGTAGGTCCTTCCCCATCTCCACCCTTTTCCAATTACCTTTTTCCCCACTCCATGCCACAGTAGTGGTAGTTGCTCCTGGTTTAGAGTCACTACAGGGTCTGCAGATCAGAGTCACAAATGCTACTGCAGCTCTGAAGGGGAGAGGAGGTCCTATAGCAAAGGCATATTCCCATGAAGATTGATTTACATTGTGGCCAGAGTCCACAGTACTACAGTTTAACTACCATAAGAGATAAATGTTCCTCTGTAGACTGGCCTGGAAACCTAAGCATTTCATATTTATTTTCTATTTTCAAACTTCCAAAGCAAGGTCTACCTTTATGTATCATTTCCCATAACACTGGATTTTCTTCATTAACAAGTATTTAGTGAATGGTTTGATGGGCTTTGAGGTACACATAAGCTCATAAAGTGCTTTAATGTAATATTGATACAATTGATTTTTTTTTCTTTTTTTTTTTTTTAGAGACAGGGTCTCACTCTGTTGCTCAGGCTGGAGTGCAGTGGTACAGTCATGGCTCACTGCAGCCTTGACCTTTACAATGTTATGCAACCGTCAACTCTGGTTCCAAAACATTTTCATCGCCCTTAGATACTATTTATTTATTTATTCACTGAGACAGAATTTCACTCATTGTTCAGGCTGGAGTGCAATGGCACGATCTTGGCTCACTGCAACATCCACCTCCTGGGTTCAACCGATTCTTCTGCCTCAGCCTCCCAAGTTGCTGGGATTATAGGTGCCCGCCACCACGCCCAGCTAATTTTTTGTATTTTTAGTAGAGATGGGGTTTCACCCTGTTGGCCAGGCTGGTCTTGAACTCCTGACCTCAGGTGATCCACCCACCTCGGCCTCCCAAAGTGCTGGGATTACAGGCATGAGCCACTGCGCCTGGCCGACACAATTTTTATTTTTTGAGATGGAGTCTCGCTCTGTCACCTAGGCTGGAGTGCAGTGGCGCAATCTCGGCTCACTGAAACCTCTGCCTTTGAGTTCAAACGATTCGCCTGCCTCAGCCTCCCGAATAGCTGGGATTACAGGCGCACACCATCGCGCCTGGCTGATTTTTGTACTTTTAGTGCAGGAGGTGGGTGGTGGGGGGGGTCCTCACCATGTTGGCCAGGCTGGTCTCGAACTCCTGACCTCAGGTGATCCGCCTGCCTCAGCCTCCCAAAGTGCTGGGATTACAGGCATGAGCCAGCACGCCCGGCCAGATACAATTCATTTTTAAAAGGGCTCACTCCGGGAGCTTTAAGGATTGTAGTGGGCGTTTTCCAAGGAGGAGGGAATTACTTCTAGGATGCTAGCGGCTGGGGCATGAAGCATCTCCAAGGGAAAGTGCATGGGAGTGAAGTCTGTAGGTCTTCCTGGCCCGGGTGCTCACTGGCGTACTTAAATTGTAGGTGATAACTGCTAAGAATGTGACATTTCTATTTCAGTATGCTTTCAGTCATGAGAGAGGCATCGAGCCAAACCCTTCCATTTTAAAAGATGACAACTAAAGCACATGTGTATAACTCAGCAAGCCAGTGAATGTACCCGTTTTTTCACTTTGAAATTTAGGACACTCCTTCCATTCCATGTTGAATCTAGATTAAGTATCAAGTCCATGAGCATATCAGGTGTACCTACAGGAGGTAGGAGCGCTGGCCTCCCATCTAACTGCATTCTTTTTGACCACTTTTGCAGAAACATCCCCGCCCCCCTCCCACCTCTTTTGAGACCAATCTTACACAAACATCACTTTAAGGCTACCCTCCCAGGTGTTAAACTTTTTCTGTACCCTCAGGCTAAACCCAATCAGCATCAACAAACTTTACTTTTTTGTGTGTGTGTGTGAGACGGAGTCTTGCTGTGATGCCCAGGCTAGAGTGCAATGGCGTGATCTCGGCTCACTGCTACCACTGCTTCCTGGGTTCACACGATTCTCCTGCCTCAGCCTCCCTGGGACTACAGGCACGCACCACCACGCCCAGCTAATTTTTGTGTTTTTAGTAGAGACAGGGTTTCACCACATTGGCCAGGTTGGTCTGGAACTCCTGACCTCAAGTGATCCGCCCACCTCAGCCTCCCAAAGTGCTGGGATTACAGGCTTGAGCCACCACTCCTGGCCAGAATCAAGAAGCTTTACTGGAGGATACCATTTGTCTAACACAAATGGATCACATTACAATAGTCACACCTCTGCAAAATCTGCCCTTACTGGAAGCAAAAATGCCATTCCATTTTAGACGCTATGGGAAAAACAACCTATGCAGACCCTACTGACCCCCAAATAAAGGAATAAAAGGCATCACTTGAATTTTAAAGTTTATTTACTTTGAAGTAACCAACTTAAAAAATGGCCTGAGTTAAGTGTATTAAAAAGAAGAAATAGTCGTAAGATGGCAGTATAAATTCATCTCTGCATGTAGAAACCGGAAAAAAAGCAAGTTCAGTACTTCACCAAAAAATTTCAACATTGCAAACACAGGAAATTGAGAACTGACAAACAGAAATACTAGGAAATGCAAAGTCTTGAAGCTCCAAAACAAAAACAGCAATCTTGGAAAGGCCCCTAATCTACCTCCTCAATGGTGGGGCCTGACCCAGACCCTCCCTTGGGACCCTGAGCCCCGAAGCCCCCAGGCCCGGGACCACCGGCACCCTGGTACAGTCCGCTGATGATGGGGTTACACACCTGCTCCAGCTCCTTCCTCTTGTGCTCAAACTCGTCCTTCTCGGCCAAGGTGTTGGCGTCCAGCCACGAGATGACCTCTTGACACTTGTCCAGCACCTTCTTCTTGTCCGCCTCGCTGATCTTGCCCTTGAGCCCCTCATCCTCCACGGCGCTCTTCATGTTGAAGGCGTAGGACTCCAGGGCGTTCTTGGCTGACACCCTCTCGCGCTGCACCTCGTCCTCCGCTTTGTACTTCTCCGCCTCCTGCACCATGCGCTCGATCTCCTCCTTGCTCAGGCGGCCCTTGTCGTTGGTGATGGTGATCTTGTTGGCCTTGCCGGTGCTCTTGTCCGTGGCCGTGACGTTCAGGATGCCGTTGGCATCGATGTCGAAGGTCACCTCGATCTGGGGCACGCCCCTGGGGGCCGGAGGGATGCCGCTCAGCTCGAAGCGCCCCAACAGATTGTTGTCTTTCGTCATGGCCCTCTCGCCCTCGTACACCTGGATCAGCACCCCGGGTTGGTTGTCGGAGTAGGTGGTGAAGATCTGCGTCTGCTTGGTGGGGATGGTGGAGTTGCGCTTGATCAGGGCAGTCATCACGCCTCCGGCCGTCTCCAGCCCCAGCGACAGGGGAGCCACGTCCAGCAGCAGCAGGTCCTGCACGTTCTCGGACTTGTCCCCCATCAGGATGGCCGCCTGCACCGCCGCCCCGTAGGCCACAGCCTCGTCGGGGTTGATGCTCTTGTTCAGGTCGCGCCCGTTGAAGAAGTCCTGCAGCAGCTTCTGCACCTTGGGGATGCGGGTGGAGCCCCCGACCAGGACCAGGTCGTGAATCTGGGCCTTGTCCAGCTTGGCGTCGCGCAGAGCCTTCTCCACGGGCTCCAGGGTGCTTCGGAACAGGTCGGAGCACAGCTCCTCGAACCTCGCCCTGGTGATGGACGTGTAGAAGTCGATGCCCTCAAACAGGGAGTCGATCTCCAGGCTGGCCTGGGTGCTGGACGACAGGGTCCTCTTGGCCCTCTCGCAGGCGGTGCGCAGCCGCCTCACGGCTCGCTTGTTCTGGCTGATGTCCTTCTTGTGTTTTCTCTTGAACTCCTCCACGAAGTGGTTCACCAGCCTGTTGTCAAAGTCCTCCCCACCCAGGTGGGTGTCCCCGGCCGTGGCCTTCACCTCGAAGATGCCGTCGTCGATCGTCAGGATGGACACGTCGAAGGTGCCCCCGCCCAGGTCAAAGATGAGCACGTTGCGCTCCCCCTTGCCCGTTCTGTCCAGGCCGTAGGCGATGGCGGCGGCCGTGGGCTCGTTGATGATCCGCAGCACGTTGAGCCCCGCGATCACACCCGCATCCTTGGTGGCCTGGCGCTGCGAGTCGTTGAAGTAGGCCGGCACGGTGATCACCGCGTTGGTCACCGGGTAGCCCAGGTACGCCTCGGCGATCTCCTTCATCTTGGTCAGCACCATGGACGAGATCTCCTCGGGGTAGAATGCCTTGGTCTCCCCCTTGTAGCTCACCTGCACCTTGGGCTTGTCTCCGTCGTTGATCACCTGGAAAGGCCAGTGCTTCATGTCCGACTGCACCACCGGGTCGCCGAACTTGCGGCCGATCAGCCGCTTCGCGTCAAACACGGTGTTCTGCGGGTTCAGCGCCACCTGGTTCTTGGCCGCATCCCCGATGAGCCGCTCGGTGTCCGTGAAGGCCACGTAGCTGGGGGTGGTGCGGTTGCCCTGGTCGTTGGCGATGATCTCCACCTTGCCGTGTTGGAACACCCCCACGCAGGAGTAGGTGGTGCCCAGGTCGATGCCGATCGCCGCGGCTTTGGCCATGCCGGTTCCCTGCTCTCTGTCGGCTCCGCTCTGAGATTGGGGGCTGGAAACGGAACACTGGATCCGCGAGAAGAGCTCGGTCCTTCCGGACGCCGGAAACTCGACGCGCCGGTGCCTGCAGCCGCACAGGTTCGCTCTGGGAAGCCTTGGGACAACGGGAGTCACTCTCGAAAAAGGTAGTGGACTGTCGCAGCAGCTCCTCAGGCTAGCCGTTATCCGGACCGCTTGCCCCTGGGCTTTTATAAGTCGTCACGGAGACCCGCCTTTTCCCTTCTGAGCCAATCACCGAGCTCGATGAGGCTGCCAGGTCGGGAATATTCCAGGGTTTTCGCCTCCCGTCCTGCCCCCCAGCCTTCCTTGGACCAATCAGAGGCCAGAGTGCCGCCCCCTGCTCAGAACTCTCCAGAGTCTTCTGGGATTCACTGGAGGGGACAGGGACCCTGAGAGGAAGGGGGAGTGGCGGTGGGAAGGGTGTTGGTCTCCATGGCGATGCTGACCGCCTGCGCTTCAGCGCCTAATTGACAGGAAGGGTCGGCGCTGGGCTTTTAATTGTGGGGGCTTGCTGGGCCTGCGCAGTTGTGGGCAGGGGGCTGGTGCGGGGAGCGGGTTACGCGCGTCCAGGGGAGGGTGGGGGCGTTTGTGTTGACACCGCCCGGCCACGTTACAATGGAGATACTGTCTCTGACCTCATGGGCCAGTTTGGAAAAAGATTACTGAGTTGGAGCCGTCTCAAATTTGCAGGGAGGGACGGGGTGGGGGGTGGGGGGACCCCGGTTGTGCAGTTTGATATTGAGGGAGCCCCCACCTACTCGCTGGGGCTGCGTAATCTGGACGTTTCCAAACTGAAGCGAAGGCGTCGGGAGACTAGGTGAGCCAGTAGGGATCTGATTGATTGTGAACCTGAAAGGCTCAGTAGGTCCTTGTTTGGGAAAGTACTGGAAAGTTCCCTAGTTGGTTTAAGCCTGAGGTATGTGGGCGTTGGCTGATCCGGGTAGGAGGAGCACTTGGGGAAAGCTAAGATGGCTTCAGATTGATTGGTCGGAGCAGCCAGAATGGGGGAGGCGGGGGAAGGGAGTGCGGCCTGTCGGGGAAATGGGGAGGCGGGGAAGGCGGGGTAAGGGGGAGGCGGGGTAACTGGGAAGCGGGGGAAAGGGAGTGCGGCCTAGGAATCTGCGGTGTGGAGAGGGATAGACACTAAACCCTTTATTTTATTTTTATTTATTTATTTTTAATTTTTTTTTTTTTTTTGAGACGGAGTCTCGCTCTGTCGCCCAGGGTGGAGTGCAGTGGCACGATCTTGGCTCACTGCAAGCTCTGCCTCCCGAGTTCAGGCCATTCTCCTGCCTCAGCCTTCCGAGTAGCAGGGACTGCAGGCGCCCGCCACCGCGCCCGGCTAATTGCTCCACCTCCCGGGTTCAAGCTATTCTCCTGCCTCAGCCATCCGAGTAGCTGGAACTACTGGCGCCCGCCACCACGCCCAGCTAATTTTTTCTATTTTTTAGTAGAGACGAGGTTTCACCGTGTTAGCCAGGATGGTAGCCAGGATGGTCTCGTTCTCCTGACCCCGTGATCCGCCCGCCTCGGCCTCTCAAAGTGCTGGGATTACAGGCGTGAGCCACCGCCCCCCGCCCTTAAACCCTTTATTGATCAGTTATTGGCTCCAGAAAACAGGAGTTTTATTTAGGAGAAGGATACAGATACTGTCTGGAGTGCCATGTCGTTTGAGAAAACTGGAAGGCTTGTGGTTTTCTAGCAGTCATCTTCAGCCTGACTGGAATTTACTGCCGGTGAACCCCTAATAGAGAATATTATCCCAGGAAGGCAGCAGAACTCAAGTGTGGAGGCTGATGTCTCTTGAAGAGACCAGAATGTACACTACTCTTGGGTCATAAAGAGACAGAATCCCACAGTAAAATATATAGGAACAGGACAGTAGAATTAGGTCACTTGGGAAATTGAAAACAATATACAGCTACTTGCTTCCCAACTTCTTTGAGTAGCTGAGAATACTTTTGTCTACCCTGTCCAAAAAGCAGTCTGCCATGACAGTAGCGTCTCCATGTATTTGTATAGGCTTGCTCATAGCAACATTATTCTGTAAATTCTGTAATCTGTATCCATCGAGAGATAGATAAGCAAAATGTATATAGGCCGGGTGCGGTGGTGGCTCATGCCTGCCATCCCAGAACTTAGGGAGACCGAGGCGGGCGGATCACTTAAGGTTAGGAGTTTGAGACCATCCTGGTCAACATGGTGAAACTCTGTTTTTACTAAAAATACAAAAATTATCTGGGCGTGGCAGTGCACGCCTGTAGTCCCAGCTCCTCGGGAGGCTGAGGCTGGAGAATTAGCTTGAACCCAGGAGGTGGAGGTTGCAGTGAGCCAAGATCATGCCACTGCACTCCAGCCTGGGTAACAGAGTGAGACTCTGTCTCAAAACAAAATCAAAAACAGTGGTATATAAATATGAATATTACTCAGCCTTAGGAAGGAAATTGTGACATGTTACAACATGGATGAAACCTGTGCACATAAGCTAAGTGACATAAGCAAAGTCACAAAAGGATAAATACTGTATAATTCCACTTATATGAAGTTACAAGAGTAGTCAAATTCATAGAGATAGAAAAAAGAGGTCGGGCGCCTTGGCTCAAGCCTATAATCCTAACACTTGGTGACTTGGAGGTGGGAGGAGGTTTCCTTGAGCTCAGGAGTGAGAAACTAGCTTGGGCAACAGGGAGACCTGGTCTCTACAAAAAAATAAAAAATTAGCTGGGTGTGGTGGCATTCACCTGTGGTCCAAGCTACTTGGGAGGCTGAGACAAAAGGATCCTATGAGCCTGGGAGGTCAAGACTGCAGTGAGCCATGATTACACCACTGCAGTGCAGCCTGCGTGACAAAACGAGACCCTGTCTCTAAAAAATGAGAAAAAAAAATGGTTGTTACCAGGCGATAAAGGGAGGGGAAAACGGGAGTTACTTAATGAGTATACAGTTTCAGTTTTGCGAGATGAACAGAATTCTGGAAATTGGTTGAACACCGCTGTGATTGAACTCACTACCAAACTCTACACTTAAAAATGGTTAAGATGGTACAATTTGTATGTATTTTACCACAATAAAAAATAAAAAATAGGCTGGGCGAGATGTTCACTCCTGTAATCCCAGTACTTGGGGAGGCTGGGGCTGAAGGATCGTTTGAGCCCTGAAGGAGTTTGAGACCAGCCTGAGCAACATAAGGAGACCCCATCTGTACACAAAATTAAAACATTAGCCAGGCAGAGAGCTGGTCACGGTGGCTCACGTATGTAATCCCAGCACTTTGGGAGGCCGAGGCGGGCGGATCACCTGAGGTCAGGAGTTTGAGACCAGCCTGGCCAACATAGTGAAACCGTGAAACCCCATCTCTACTAAAAATACAAAAATTAGCTGGGCGTGGTGGTGCCCTCATAATCCCAGCCACTCGGGAGGCTGAGACAGGAGAATCGCTTGAACTCAGGAGGTGGAGGTTGCAGTGAGCCTAGATCACACCACTGCAGTCCAAAGCAAGACTCCGTCTCAAAAAAAAAAAAAATTAGCCGGGCATGTTGTCTCCAGTTATTCTGGAGGCTAAGGCAGGAAGATTGCTGGAGCCTAGGAGATCAAAGCTGCAGTGAGCTATGACTGCGCCTCTGCACTCCAACCTGGGTGACAGAGGAAGACCCTGTCTCAAAAAAATAAATAACATTGAAAAGCACTCTCCCAAAACAGTATCTTATTCTTTCTCCATAGGCCTCAGAGAACCATGGCTACTGCCAAGGGAATCGCCATAGG